>NC_000013.11:71438409-71589924 GCF_000001405.40 Homo sapiens
AAGTTACAGACTTACAATAACATTTCATGAATTGTAATATTTACAACATGTTAGTAAGAGTCTCTCTTAACATACAGCTGATAGCTTTTTTCTTTAATCCTTGCTAAAATTTCCTTTTATTTCAAATCAAACACTAAAGCATTCTCAAAGGTCTTCAAATATGTATTTTAAAACTATTTAATCCACATAACAAACAGGTGACTCTATGCCAGGAGCAGAGCAATGGCTGATTCTACTACATATGTAAGTTGTAGGCTTTTTTAAAAATCTTTCAAAAAATGTATGATGCAAAAAGCTTGACACAAGTCCATTCAATTTTAAGTGTTGTAATCCTTTAAAGACTGCATATAGGGAAACAAACACATAGAACTAGGAAAAGAATCCCTTGTGCTCAAACAACAAAAGGTGGTTATGGAAGAACTATGCTTAGAAAACCAAGTTTCTACAAATCATTTACTAGCAATACTTTAAATAAAAATAATGCTCCCTTTGTAAGCAAGCTAAAATAGGAACTGTACATATAACCTTTTTATGGTATTAAAAAGATGAACTTAGCTGGCTAATAGTGAGCTACACAAAAGAATTATGTTCCAGTATTGCAAGGAAGACCTAAAAGGTATAGAAGCGTAATGCCAGAGTATCTATAATGTTAATTTTTTCTTAATCAAGTAATTAATACCCAATCAGAACTATATTTAAACATTTTAAGCTAGTTTTCTTAGACATTGAAGATTTTGCTGTTTTGTGGTAATAAATAATGTTACGATCATACAATTTTAAGATGACAGAAAAATCATAAAATGTATAGTGACCGTACTGATTCATATCAGTCTTTAAAGGTGTAATTCCAGATATGCAAAAAACAAAGAGAAGGTAACTTTAGCATGTAATAAGCACTGTTTGCCGCTTTACTTCCAGTTATCTGCACGAAAGTGAAAACACATACTGTAACTTTCAAAAAGACAGTGAAAATAACACATAGCCACCCTTCCCTCTGACAAGGGTGGGAAGCACAGCACATTTTAACTTTATCACTCAGCGCTACATGGTATTGGACTGGTACATCAAGGTTTGTTAGGTTTTGTTTTCAGCAACATTAACATAATATGACGTTAACATATAAAAATATTTCTGGTGTTTTGATTTGCTGTTCAGCCACAATCCATTCCCAATAGTGCAGCTTGGGGCACTAGCTAGGGTTCAATATACAAATAAAAGTGGCTGACACAGAGTTCTGATGTCACCAGATGCTTAAGATCTCATTCATTAATACTGTGACTCCAGACAAATATTTACATGCCTGCATGCGTTAAAACCAGAAAGACATCTTTCTGACCAACAGGGTGACAAAACATATTTTCTAAAATTTTCATTTTCCTAAACTCTAGTATACTACTGCATACATAATACCTTCCTTGTGTGTTTTATGTTTATATACTGTACATATGACCAACAGTTTGAATAAGAAGCAACATTATTATCTTTAATTCTACATACCACTACCAGTTTGGAATGAAAACATGTTACACTTATATATTTTTTTTTATTTTTAAGAAAAAAAAACCTTCAGTGAAAGCTTTTGGCTTATATTCAATGCTTCTTTTCAGATATGCAAAATGTTATTTCATTGGGTTGTTGTCAACATCCATTTGTTGGTCTTTTGGAAAGTATGTGAAAAAAAATTCTTCAGGAGAAAACCCACAATTAGAGAGTTTGAAATTGAATGTAACAGAAAATCACTCTTGCATTTTTTTTTTTCAAGAATCCTCTATGCCCCCTACAAGTTCATTCGTTCATTCCAAGTGTTCTTGCTGGTTTCTGGAGGACATAATTCTGTAAGTCTGGGTAACCACTGCTACAAGAGTCTCTTGATGTGCTCAGATACAGAATTTTCAGAAGAGGAAAATGGTTCATTCCATTAGAAAAAAACAAAGCTAGGTCTTATTCAGACCTGCCTTTAACTCTGTATACAATTGTCCAGCAGCAAGTTGCAGTAATTAACTGTAAGAACTTTGATACTTGTACATTTACAAACATTCTCAGGTCTCTGGTATGAACCACAGGTGAAAATCAATGGAGAAAACTTTTTTTTTTTTTGTAGAATACTTAAACTTTTAAAGAACATTAATACACAAAATTCAGGAAGTTCCCTTAAAAGGACTTTATTTTTTTCTGAACTTTCCCATGACGAATGTCTGACTGCAAAGTTCTTTTCTATAACATGGATTTCTTCAACAGGAAAGATTCAGTACATGACAGTAGTTTTCAAATACAGTCTTCCATCTAGAAATGAACAGTGAAAAATTAATTAATGGCATGGTATTTGGGGTACAAATGTGCATGTAAAAATGATGTAACTTGATATAAAATTTGTAGTTTTTATTAGATCTTTACTTGGTTAAGAAGTAACATTTTTCATATCTTCTCAAAGTTAAGTTAATTTCATAATTACACTGAGTTTATGTGACTGAAAAGAATACAGCATTTCTACTTCTCATAAATATATATTTGCTATTTTGATATCAGTTCCAGAGCACTCAGAAAATAGCTAAGAGTATGTGTGTGTATTTTACTGATATGCAAAGTTAGTTGATTTCTGTTGAATAACAATTACTTCCTTCAAGCTTGCAGAACCAAATTTTCTCTGAATGCACTCAGGTGTATCTCCATCAGGAAAGACTGAACTCCCATCTTACTCTTTAGCAGTGTTGTTAAATATACCATGTAATGTAACTATTGTGCACATTCGTTGCTATTTATATGAAAGCCAGCTAGGTTATTTCATCACTGTCAATGAACTATAGCCTTTACCCCTTGAAGTGAGATTCATCCAACAATTAAATATTAAAATGTAAACACTGTATATTATTCAACTTTTACTAATGAGCAAACACACAGTTGTGTGAAAAAGAAAAGGAAATCAAATCTTAGAGACATCGAATAAATCCATTTGAATGAAGCACTAATAAGAAATAGGAAATTAAAAGTCCAAACCAAAAATAAAACAATAACAATACCAAACATAAGCATATTTCTCAAATATTTAATACCCTCTAAACTGTCTACTTCCTGGTATGGCCTAAACTTTGTATATATTTGTCTAATATATGTCTGAAATTCAAATTTTAATATGTACAGTAGAAAGGAGAACAATCAGAAAAGGAAAGTTTTCCGAGCTTTGAAAAGTACATATTGCCATGTAAATGTTTGCAAAATGTCTGGTAACTGGAAGAATTAAAATATAAGAAAACATAAATGACCTATAGTACATTCAGGAAATAAAAAAGATAGTCTAAATATTTATGGACCTCACCTTCAACTTTTATACAACTACTTTTATACAATCTATAGTGGATATAGTAAGTTGCAAGGAACTTAATATCAGCAATGTTAAATCATGTCGTACTTCATAGAAATATTGGTAAGCCCAAATTATATATTCCTCTCATTTTTTTCTATTTTTTATAATCCTTCCTTTTTAAAAAATGTTTTTAATTCTTGTGGGTAAATATTAGGTGCATATATTATATTTATGGGATACACTGCATATTTAGATACAGGCATGCATGCATAATAATCACATCTGGGTAAATGGGGTGTCTATCACCTCAAACACTTATCCTCTGTGTTACAAACAATCCAGTCTCTTTCAGTTATTTTAAAATGTACCAATTACTATGAACTATAGTCTCTTTGTTGTGCTATCAAATGTTAGATTTTATTCATTCATCCTATTTTTTTGAACCCATTAACTATCCCCACTCCCTCCCCACTCTCCTCACTAACCTTCCCAGTCTCTGGCAACCATCATTCTACACTCTATCTCCACAAATTTAATGGTTTTAATTTTTAGCTCCCACAAATAAAGTGAGAACATACAAAGTTTGCCTTTCTGTGCTTGGCTTATTTCACTTAGCATAATGACCTCCAGTTTCATCCATGTTGCTGTAAATGACAGGATCTCATTCTTTTTATGGCTGAATAGTATTCTATTGCGTATGTGTACACCATTTTCTTCATTCATCTGCTGATGGACAATTAGGTTGCTTCCAAATCTTGGCTATTGTGAATAATGCTGCAATAAAACATCTTAATAAACATTTGTAGGGTTGAAATACTACCTCCAAGATGTCATGAAACTCTATTTTGCTCATTGAGTATACAGAGTCCTCCCTTTTGCACAGAGTATACAGTAGTCCTCCCTTATCTGTGGGGGATATGTCCAGACTGCCAGTGGATGCCTGAAATCATGGATAGTACCAAACCCTATGTATACTATGTTTTTTTTTGTATACATACATACCTATGATAAAGCTTAATTTATAAATTAGGCACAGTAAGAGATTAACAATTATAGATAATAATGATGCAATTATAGCTACATGGATAATAATAGAACAATTATAACAATATACTCTAATATAAGTTATGTAAATGTAGCCTTTCTGTCTCTCAAAATACTGTAACATTTTCCAACTATTGTTGACAATGGGTAACTGAGACTACGGGAAGATAAACTATAGATAAGGAGGGACTACTGTAAGTTTAGTAAATATGTGTTAAATAAATGCATTAATCAGATATAGGTCTTTAAAAATATAGATTTCATATGGTTTACACAAAGTAGATATTGAATTATATATATAATTATATATATTATTAAATGTAATTATATATTATATGTAATTACATATATTATAAGTATAAAAACATATAATGAACATCTCAAATCCACAATTTTCCCTCCCAGAGGCAGGGATGTCCATGAGATTAGCCTCAGACTGGCTAAATGCTAATAAGTTGTGTCAGATATCAGTTGCCTCTCTTAAAATTAATCTAGTTCAACTTTAAGAATAATAATAATGATTACTTGAAAGTTGCTAAATAGCCTTAGCTTTTCAGGACTGGGAGTGGTGGCTCACAACTGTAATGCCAGCACTTTGGGAGGCTGAGCGGGGAGGACTGCCTGAGCCCAGGAGTTCGAGACCAGCCTGGGCAACATGGTGAGACCCCATCTCTATTAAAAAATAATAGTTATAAATGAAAAAATAAAAAAGAAATACCCTTAGCTTTTCAGTTCAGCAGTCATACACTAGGATTTTTCTTAATAGTTGAAACATATAATAATCATAATAAAGATCTGCTCCCTCAAAATAGCATACATGTTTGGATATAAAATATAACCTAAGATTAATCAGTGAAAACATGTATTTAATCCTGCTGAACTCTAATTCTGAGCAATGATGTAAAGACATGCACAAACTGTGTCTAATTCTCTCTGTAGATATGTGTAGATATGCAGTCTAAAGGGATTTTACCTCTTTGGCCCCTAACTGTCATTTCTGATTGATACTAAATATTACTGCAGTTCAGCTGTAGACATTTTGGTATTAAATAAAGATTGGAACCTCCTAAATCAGGTATTAATCAAATACTAGTATCAAGGCCATATAATTTAGGTAAAAATTTATTTCTAATTAAGGATATGGCAGTACCATGTTGACATATTGTGTAACATTTATTGTTTTCGTATGGAATATGGCCTGATTTCTTCCGTTTGCTTAGCTTAATTGGGCTCACCTGTGGGACCAAACTATGTTTTTCTCACTTACATTATATGAGTAATATATAATTATTTGTGGTTTCAGCATAGCAGGAGTTTCAATTACTTATTTAGTAAACAAACCTAATAATATTATAAAAATAAACAGAACAAAAATTTCTGTCTTTCGTATATTTACTACCACTTGGCTAAAAATTGGACTGTTCTAAAGATAATTTTGATTCAAATGATTTCTACTACATAAAGTAACATTGATTTGTTTAAAAATCTAGTAACAGAGAATAGAGAAGTATCCAAAAAGATGGAGTGTTGATACTTTTGCCAAAGCTTTCTAATTCTTAATCCCTTAATTTATTTATCCCTACTTAACTCTCTTTTCAATTGTCTCATTATTTCTAGCATGTATTCAATTATATTGAGATTATCATTCCCATTCTTATTTTTTAAAAAATACGCAATGTTTCCTAGGATTAAACAGAGGGAACCGAGACCTTGTCAACTTCCACAGAATTCAAATTTCATTAACCTAAGTCCTTCATAAACTTTATAAAAAGTAATAATTTGCTCAAAAGTAACATTTCAGTACTCACTGTGGAACTCTTAAGTCTCTGTACAATGAAGAAAAGCAACTAAAGTATTAAATATAGTTTTCTAATCATCTGTGATCTGCAGTATATTAAGTAGAAAGAATCCAGGAGCAAAAAAATGGATTTATACAAATTATCTTTTAAGTATGAATAATTATTTAAAAGACCCATATTTACATTAACTAGCCAAATTATTCTCCATGGTCTACAAAGTGGTACCTAAGCTGGTGCTGCTTTTCCTTTTCAGTCTTATCTTTTACTTCCCTCCCCTAGGTTTAGTGGCCTGTCTATTCTACAGCACGCCAAACTCTATATTGTGTTGGAATATTCAGGTCTGTTCTTCCTTCAAGAAGCCTAGAATACAAGTACACCCTCTCTCCCTACTTCCCCTTCTGCTGCCTCCTATTGAACTTCTCTACAAAGAGCTCCACTAAGTACTCCTCAATACTATCACCCTAAGAATTACTCTATAGCGCTTATCTCACTTTGAAGTCATATAAAGTGAGCCTCCCCCACGATAAGCCCCGTGGAAGAGGCAGCTGCCTCTTTCTGCCAGTATTAGAATGAGAAGCCTTCAGCATGGTGTTGTTTGCATTAAAAGTTTTAGTGTGGCCTCAAATGTTAAACTTTTGAAGAAAGAAATTCATTAATATGCCTATGTAACAAAAATTATTAGCATGTTAGAAATGTTAAAGTTTATCTAAAACTAAATATTTTAAATAAAACTCTCTTAGATTTGTAAAATATACCAGTAATAAGTATTTCATAAGCATCTTTACCATGGGTACTATATAAAACACGTTTATAAAAATTACATACATTATGTGCTCAGTATCTGATCTGCTGTAATTCTACTTTTAATAAATATGTCTCCTATTAAATTTTTGGCTAATGTTCCTAACAGATGGACAAATGTATCAAGCATTAAAGATGTCAGCTATAAAATAGACCCCACCTGTCACATTCAGGTAGTTCTCTATGATTAAATAATTATTAAACATCAGAGATCCTCTACTTCAGAATCCACCGGAGGCAGAAATGCACCACGCACAGACAGACCCTTGAAGACTGACTATCTTTCTTTCATTTACAGACCCTTATTTTAAAAGCAGTTCTAACATATAATTTTGTCATATTTATTAAAACATACTTGCAGATCAATAAAAGTCTGTAGGAACAAAATTTTAAACAAATGTTATAATGTTCCAGAGAAGTTATATTGGCCCTGTAGCCCACAGTAAATAGCTGCATGTGGACATACCCAGGGAACTAACAACAGGCTTCTGAATTATGGGGCTGTGGTTCTAACTCAGCCTTCTGTTAACAAACCACCTGAATGAAAGGCGGATGGCAAATGTGCTAGGAAGGATATATGGTCCTATAATTCAAACTGTGCCATGTCTGTATGTTATATAATAATGGTCCCAATATTCTCTCCTTTCCTGACTCTTCAAACAGCAAGAAAAGCCATGGGCCATGGAGAAGACTTTGCAAAAATGAGCGGCAAAAGAGAGATTATTGGAATCCCTGGAGTGCGTCCATAGCTGAGGCCTCATTATTCGGAGGTGTGCTGTTTACATCTGACAACTCAGAGGGTTGATTCATACATTTTATATTAAAGGTTACTCGTTGTACATCATACTTACCCTCTAACTAGATAATCTCACTCCTGCCCACCATTTTCTACATTGTCTTTGGTTCTTTCTGTATGTGTTTGACGCAGAAAAAATATATTTCCTGTTTGTTCCTCATGCTGAGGCAAGTTTACCAATCAGTTATTCCTCGATATCTCAAATGGATGAAAGCTTTACATTAAGATTAAGTAAACTGGCAATAATGATTCGTATCAGTAAAGCTAACATTTTCTGAGCACCTGTGATGTTAAAGGTGCTATATCGATTTTAAGTCTAAACTTTCCACCAACCCAAGAAAATAATGCCTCTTACAAATAAGGCTATTAAGGCATAGAGAGTTTAAGTATCTTGCACATTTTCACAGAGCTAGCAAATGGAAGTGCAGTGATTTGACATTTCTGTGAATTCAAATTTCATGGCCATTCCACTCTATCACTTTTCCTCTAATAAGCAACTGGACTGTCCCTGGAAAAAATATGATGTCTTTGACATACAGAATTATAGGACTGACTCCTAAACACCTAGTACCATTTGTCTCGCTGCCTTGTGGATCTGCTCTTTGCCTTCCTCCTGGGAGCAGGGCTTCTTTTTAGTCAGCAAAGCCTCAATTGGTCAAACTGAAATCAGAACTAGAATTCTTACAGCGTAGTTTCAAAGAAAATACCTTCCTTTAACACAATGATTATTTGCTTTTGCATGGGAGGTTGATATGACAGAAAAGTCATCAAGCTAAACTTTGTGCATGGGAGTACTTAATTAAAAAGTCTGTTCTAATTAAAAGCATTTGGGAGTAGGGATTGAGCGAAACTATTTAAATTACAAATTCCTAATAGTTTCAAAGTTCATTGTGATTTGATGCTTACAGCTATAATTTGGTGTATAAGAAAGTATCTCGTGTCTAAGAAAGCATTTGGTATATAAGAAGGATCACTGAATAGTTTATTGTGCGTGTGAATTTTTGTATGCTGTTTGTTACTATGCAGATTTAGATCTACAGAAAATAAATTGAAGAAAAACTTGTAAATTATTTGTAAAAATGGATCTCAGATTTTAATACTACAGTTGCAACCATCAAATCAGACCCAGTAAGTATATAGATTTTAGATATTTTATTCACTGTGTCTGAGGAGACAGACAGGAGAATTCTATCTCAAAATTTCTAGTTTTGTATTCATGGATTAAGTTTAATGTTTGGTTTAATATTTTTTAATGTATTATTATATGAAGTTATTGCTAACATCTAATACATATAGACAGATGTGGAATTTAGCTTTTATTCCATATATAAAAACTAGAGTATTGAACAGATTGATCATTTATTTTAAAAACTAATGAAGTTTGTTTAATGCCAATCATATGGCCGGGCGCAGTGGCTCACACCCGTAATCCCAGCACTTTGGGAGGCTGAGGCGGGTGGATCACGAGGTCAGGAAATCGAGACCATCCTGCCATCATGGTGAAACCCCGACTCTACTAAAAATACAAAAAAATTAGCTGGATGTGGTGGCACACGCCTGTAGTCCCAGCTACTTGGGAGGCTGAGGCAGGAGAATTGCTTGAACCCAGGAAGCGGAAGTTGCAGTGAGCCAAGATTGCGCCACCACACTCCAGCCTGGAGAAAAAAAAAAAAAAACCCACTCACATTATGTGACAAGATTTTATATAAGAAGATGACATATAAATTAATACAATTTCAAATTGACACCAAAAAATCCAATTTGTTCACTGTGAAAGTCATGTAAAATCCTTAACAATGGAGTATGCTTGTGGAAGGTATCACACAATATGCAAATAGATTTCTATTCCAGTTTTGGGAAGAACTCCCTCACAAACATCCACAAGGATCTTTTACACATCTTTTGCACGAAGGACTTAATAAATTGCGTTTTCTGTTAGGAAGTAGCTTTATTAAACAGGTCAACTATTTGTTCAAAACTTATATCCAGGCACCTGTAATCTAGGGATATTTGCTGCTTTCACAAAACAGTTGTACATGCAGATGCCTCACTCTTCCAGAGCTGAGGAAAATATTAACACAGCAGAGGGCAAACATATCACATCACATGTCCAGAAAGTTTAATATTTACTTAAAGAATCTGAGGTTAATATAAAATATAGTAGCCGTGTGTGTCTCTCAACATAATGTCTTCATCATGTGAAGTAAAGGAAACCAAAGCAAGCGATGAAAACAAATGTTAATGATTCATGTGATATTTGATAAGACAACGAAAGGAAGTCAAAATAAAAGCAAACAAACAGGAACAGATGGGAAGGATCTTTGTCAAGTCATAACCCCTCTTCTAAAACCCCCAAAGGAAGAAGCTAATTAAAGAAAATATTGTTTCTTGCTTTTTTTATAATTTTATATTTAGAGTAAGAACATTCTGCTACTGCTAAAGCAAGAAAGCAGAGACACAAAGTCTACATTAAACATGAGAAATATTTTAGTGAGACTGATGTTCTGCACAGGCCCATTTATAAGAGGATACTGAATAATTATCAGTTCTTCTCATGAAATGCAGATAATAACAGTGCAAGTGATTTCCAGATGTTTGAAGACTAATATATTCAAAGCTGTGTTTAAATATAATTAAAAAGTAAAAACTGAAAAAGTAGTAACAGATTCTGTGGTTTTTTTTTTTTTTCAAGGTTGTAACTGGGGAACCTGAGGCCTACAGAGTTGGGTCAAGGTGAGAGAGGACTAGACATCATATTAGACCTCATATCCTCTTTATATGCTTTTTCCATTAGCACTGGGTGCTGTTCTAGACAATAAGCAAAGACTGTGTGCAGGAAAGTACAACAACTAGGGTACTTTGTCTGTACACTCCAAATACACCACAATAAGAAATAGGTAATGAAGTGGCTGGGCATGGTGGCTCATGCCTGTAATCCCAGCACTTTCGGAGGCCGAGGCAGGCAGATGGCCCGAGGTCAGGAGTTTGAGACCAGCAAAACCCTGTCTCTACTAAAAATACAAAAATTAGCGGGGCGTGGTGGCACATGCCTGTGATCCCAGCTACTCAGGAGGCTGAGGCAGGAGAATTGCTTCAACCTGGAAGGCGGAGATTGCAGTGAGCCGAGATCGAACCACTGCACTCCAGCCTGGGCAACAGAGTGAGACTGTCTCAAAAAAGAAAAAAAAAGAAAGAAAAGAAATAGGTAATGAATTACATAATAGACCAACATGGCCTTGCTTATTTGAAATCAGAGTAGATAATGTGCCTTACTAAAAAGGGCTGGTATGCTCATGTTCTCACTTATAAGTGGGAGTTGAACAATGAGAACACATGGACACAGGGAAGGGAACATCACACACTGGGGCCTGTCAGGGGTTGGGGGCTAGGGGAGGGAGAGCATTAGGACAAATACCTAATGCATGCAGGGCTTAAAACCTAGATGATGGGTTGATGGGTGCAGCAAACCACCATGGCATATGTATACCTATGTAACAAACATGCATGTTCTGCACATGTATCCCAGAGCTTAAAGTAAACGAATTTATTGCATCATTAAAAATTTTTTTAAAAAAGGCTGGTATGAAGTAAAGTTCTTGATTGTGGCTAATAATTAGACCAAAAAATTGTAATCACAAACCGCTTTTATATATTTTTTCAGTTCTCTTCAAATAAGAAAGTACATGAGAGAACACAGGTTAGTTGAAAACATGTTCTAATGAGAACACATGGACACAGGAAGGGGAACATCACACACCAGGGCCTGTTGTGGGGTGGGGGGAGGGGGAGGGATAGCATTTGGAGATATACCTAATGTTAAATGACGAGTTACTGGGTTCGGCACGCCAACATGGCACATGTATACATATGTAACTAACCTGCACGTTGTGCACATGTACCCTAAAACAAGAAAAAATGTTCTGAGAACAAGAGATCATCTAAAGCTGTAAAACACAGTTTGATAAGGTACAGGCTTACCTCCTTTTATTTTGCTTCATTTTATTGTGGGACACAGATACTTTTTTTTTTTTTTTGGTTTTTTGTTTGTTTGTTTGTTTGTTTTAACAAGTTGAAAGTTTGTGGCAACTCCGCACTGGGGAAATGCTCACTTAATGTTACTGTGTCACATTTTGGTAATTCTCCCAATATTTTCAACTTTTTCATTATGATTATACCTGTTTTGGTGATCTGTGATCAATGATCTTTGATGTTACTATTGTAACTGTTTTGGGGGTTCCACGAACTATGCCCATATAAGACGATGAACTTAATAAATGTTGCGTGTGTTCTGACTGTTCCACCAACAACTGATTACCCCATCTCTCTCCCATTCCTTGGGGCTCCCTATTCCCTGAATCACAACAATATTGAAATTACGTCAATTAATAATCTTACCATGGTCTCAAATGAAAGGAAGACTTGCATGTCTCTCACTCTAAATCAAATGCTAAAAATGATTCAGCTTGGTGAAGAAGGCATGTCAAAGTCCTAGACAGAACAAAAGCTAGGCCTCTTGCACAGTTTGCCAAACTGTGAATGAAAAACAAAAGTTCTTGAAGGAAATTAAAAGCTACTCTAGTGGACGCACAAATAACAAAAAGCAAAACAGCCTTATTGCTGATATGGAGAAAGTTTGAGGGTTCTGAATAAAAGATCAAACCAACCACATTCCCTTAAGCCACAACCTCATCCAGAGGAAAGCCCTAACTTCATTCTGTTCTATGAAGGTTAAGAGAGAGGGTATTAATGATATTCTAGTCTGTACTCAAGGATCTGCCCCAAATGGGGTCGAAATCTGCATCCTGTGATTCTATGAACTCAAATCTGTTCAAGAACTGAATGTTCTTAAAACTGTATTACCATAACAACAACCAAGCAAAATTAACAAAAAATTATGATGATGATAATCATCATCATCATCGTCAACTATCTATTGTTTGTCTATGCAACAAAGAACAGGCAATTATATGATTAATGTTAAGAAAGCCCTTCGACAAAGTGTTTTAGTCACGAATGAGTGGCCTAAACTCATGTACACACAGTTGGGATCCCATATATTGCATTGCTAAAACCTAAATGTTGTTCCTGTCCTATGCACGTGGCATAGGACCCAGACTATCATCTCTCCCAAGTTGTCTTCTTACACTGACAAGTATAATGCTTCACTATCCTACAGAAATTTCTGAAAGACTGGCTATAAATCTCCTTAAGAGCAGATAAAATACCGTATTTGTGTATTTCTAGCATCTTGAGCATTGCTTGGTACATGGAAAGGGCTCAATAAAAATATATGGAAGGAACTATCAAAATTAATGCCACAAAATGAGGAGAAGATGGATGTTATGTGGCTCTAGATGTTATGCCTTGGGAAGAACACAGCCCCACTGGGATAGTATATTGGCTTAGCATACCTGACCTGAGCCTAAACATGAAGAAACATCAGATGCAAAATGAGAAACATTCTATTAAGAAAAGGACTGTATTTTTCAAAAATGTCAATTTTATAAATTATTTTTAAAAGACTAAGAAAATGCTCAAGATTAAAGAGACTAAAGAGAAATGACAACTAAATATAGCACGTGACCCTAATTTAGATTCAGTAATGAAGGGAAACAAATGCTATAAAGGACATTATTGGGTCAAATGACAAAATTGGAAGTTGGATGTCAGATCAGATCAAAGTATTGTCAATGAAATATTTACTGAGCTGATAAATATACTGTGTTTGCATACAAGAGAACATCTTTATTGTTAATAAATACTCTGAAATAACTATGGATTAGATGATAGGTAAAGGCCCATAATATGTGCATCTTACTCTCAAATGCTTCAGAAAATATTATATAGACAGAGAAAATGCTAAAACACATGGAGGCAAAATATTAATAATTGATGAATCTTGGTAAAGAATACATGATAGTTTTTACACTGTTCCTGGACTTCTCTAAGTTTAAATTGTTTTGTTGTTTTTTTGTATTGTTTTGTTTTGTTTTGTTTTAGACAGGGTTTCACTTTGTCATCCAGGCTGGAGTGCAATGGCACTATCTCATCTCACTGCAACCTCCGCCTCCTGGGCTCCAGTGATCTTCCTGTAGGCCTCCCGAGTAGCTGGGACTACAGGCATGTGCCACCATGCCTGGCTCATTTTTGTATTTTTAGTAAAGACAGGGTTTCACCTTGTTGCCCAGGCTGGTCTCAAACTCCTGGACTCATGCGACCTGCCTGCCTCTGCTTCCCAAACTGCTGGGATTAAAGACATGAGCCATTGCACCTAGCTTAAATTCTTTTTTCAAACACAAATTAAAAAAAATTACATCAGCTATATCAGATATTTCAATATGTCAGCTATATCAGATATTTATTAATAACTAGTTAAAGATTTACCCTTTCTACTATCCACATATACTGTTTCACTGGTCATACGGACAGTGTTCTCATGATAAGTATTTTTCCTGCTTAGCAATGAGGTTTTTGAGAAGTTTATTCAAGTATTAGGTAGAAAACAAATGGTTCATGATTTTCTTAACAGAGTTCTCCAGAAATACCAGGTTTGAAACTCGACAGAGGGTGTGGACATTAGCTAGATTCTAGTCTATTGGTCTATCATGTTTTAATGGCAAATTTACAATTGTAAAGTTTATGAAGTCTGCTTAACT
Source organism: Homo sapiens (assembly GCF_000001405.40). NCBI lineage: Eukaryota > Metazoa > Chordata > Mammalia > Primates > Hominidae > Homo > Homo sapiens. The sequence continues at coordinate 71,452,807 of NC_000013.11, forward strand.
ATTACCTGTTACTGAGTTAGGACTGCATATGCAATGTGCATTTGTTAGTGTAAGAAATTACTGTTCTGTTTGACTCTATTTGAAATAAATATTAAGTTATCTTTTAAAAGCTTATCAAAAACAAAAACAAAAAGCAGAGCACATGCCCTCTTTAAAGTTTTGCTTTGCTTTTATAAATAAAGAAAAAAATTTATACTGCTGGAGAAATGCTTTGGTAAAGTATTTTTGTGTGTGTCTTCTAATTAAATATTCATTAGTAAGAAGCAAGAAGTCATCAGAGTGGTTAATGTACCAGCAAGTGAGAATGGGGTACTTTGCACTTAGGTTACCTTGTCCTGATTGGGAGGTGAGACCTCTGGATTTCATCAAAGTGAAAGACAAAGAAATCTCTTATTACTTTCTCCATTCTTCTATTCCTTTCTGAGGGAAAGAAGACTAAGAAACAAGGGTGGAAGGAAATAATCATATAAGTGCAAATCTGATCCTAAGTAATGAATGGACATATTATCTAATATACTTAATTAAAACACAGCATAGAAGAAAAATGATTTCTTGTTTGATCAAATAAGATGCTACAGAGAAGGAAAACAGGGATATTTTGATTCATTTCAAGCCTTTATATCTTTTCAGAACTGCAAGAAACAGACAAAATCCTGTGAATAAATTGAGATGTCAGAATAAATTTATGTGTTATCTCTAAGAAAAAAACCAGAGGTGGCAATTAGAAGGGCAGCTCTTGTCAAAGCCTAGTTATTTTCTTCTAAGTTTGGAAGAAAAAAAACTCATCATCTGGCTTTTAAAAGTTCAGCATTTTCTACTTTTTTTCTATTTTCTCCAACATGACTAATTTGTTACTTTTAATAAACATTATACTTGTTTAGGGAGGTAACTGTGGGTGAATAAAGTTCTACATCTTTAAAGCCTTATTTAATATGTTTACAAAAAGCTGAGCTGAGATTCTGACAGTGTTCAACTTGACAAATGACAGGCAAAGTTCAATGAAAGAGCTCTCAAAACTTTTCAGTAAATATGAGAGTTTCCTAGCTAAAGAAGTGACACTTTCATAGGGAAATAACTTTTCTTTATATCTTACCTAATGAAATCATTAACTGATATTTAGACAGTATATGGGTGAGAACAATAACATCCTATACAAGAACTTTTAAGTAAGGTGGCCCTCTGTGCACTAAAAACACAGAAGAGATAAGTTCAAAGATGTGCAACGTTATATTAAAAAGAATGACTAGCAAACAGGCAAGAAGCACATTGACAGAAATATCATAACTAAAGGAAGAATATGAGAATCAATAGAATGTTTGCCCTGAAATGAAGCCTGGAGAAAGCAGTTAATCAAGCAAATTTACCAGACAGGGATGATGTTACTTTCAAAGACAAACATGGACATCTGCTCTGTCTTTAGATATATTCCTGAATCCATTAAATAGTAGGAATATATCACACTCCTTGTTCTGATTCCATTCTCACTAGGGAACTGGACAGTTTTATTTTCTGAAGAGCCTTCTGTGGTAGGCATCCTCTAAGATGATCAGCAATGCCCCCTGCCTCCTACAATTACAGCCATACATGATACCTTCTCCTTAAGTGTGGGTTGTACCTAGGGACTTGCTTCTAATGAGGAGAATATGGTAATAATGATGGGATGTCACTTTCAAGATTAGGTTCTAAAAAGACGGTAACTTGCAAGTTGTGGGCACACTCTTCTTCCCCAGATCTATTCACCTGCTTGATCTGATGAAGCAGGCTGCCATGTATTGAGCTGCCCTGTGGAGAGTACCGTGTGGCAAGGAACTGATGGTGGCCTCTGGCCAATGGCCAGCAAGGAACCCAGGCCCTCAGTCTAGCACTCTTGAGGACAGGAGGCATGGCAACAGCCACATTAGTCAGCTTGGAAGTGGAGTGTCCCTCAGTGGAGTCTAGAGATGACTGTAGGCCTGCCAACACCTTCCTGTAGCCTGGGGTACCCAAAGCAGAAGGCCCAGCTAAGCTAGTCCCCAATTCCTCACACACAGAAACTGTGAGGTAGTAAATATTCTTTTAAGCCATGAAGTTTTGAGGTAATTTGTTGTGACACTAATAGTCATTCCGTGATAGAAAAGATGTTCTGGTCAATGTCACAGGTAAATATTTTAGTTCTTGTGAGTTTTAGTGTGTTAGTACCTCTGTTTGCTTTCTTCTGAAATACAGAGAAGATTGCTAACATAATTCCAGATCATGTGAACTCACCAAACCAAATGCTGCCTTTGATTTCTCCTAGGAGCCTGCCTGCCTTTCAGAGGAACAAGGCTAACTTGCATGTTTCCCAGAACATTTATTGTTCTTAATGTGCAAAAATCAAAACAAACATCTGATTTGCTATTGAAAAGATAAATTATTCTAAATCACAAACTATTTATTTTCACACTTTTAAAAGATTTGTTTTGTCATACACACACAAACACACACACACATACCTCTCCATATATAGAGATAGATAGATATATCATATATCTATCTCTCCATATATGGAGTCTATATAGACAGATAGATATAGATAGATATATCCATATCTACCTATATGTGTACCTATATATATCTTCTTCAGTAGGTGGAAATAATTTGCTTGTATTATCCTAGGGTGCTTTGATTGTACTGGGAATAAAAACAGATTTTCCTTAAAGAGCAATATTATTTCATGATATCTGGTGGCCTTCTCAGAAATAAAAACAATAATTCGAAATAGTTTAATTCTCAGATCAAAAATATCTCAGAATAATAATGATCATATCACGTAACTAGATGGACTGCGACAGAACTTACCCAGGCAATTGTTTAGCTCCCTACTGCTGAAGTTGTTACAGTTTAATGAACTGACAAAAAGCAAAAGAGGAAAACCACATTCTAGATCTGTCCCTTAAAAGCATCTAAAAAGATACCAGATTGAATGAAACAAGGCAACATATTTAGTGTTCCTGAGAACTTTTGATTTAGTGATTGTAATTGGCTGAGATCTATTTCAGTTAAATCTGGTATCTTACCATTTTTAAAGCTATTGTTTATCATACTTCATATTTTCTAAGGAAACAGACCTCATCCTTTGCAAATTGCTCATGAAAAGATCAACAAACTGGTCACAAACAATAACAAATGTAAGACACTAAGTGCTTTCTAAAATGGAAAGCAGTAACAACAAAAAAAGGCAAAATGTCCTATTACAAAAAACTGTAATGCTAATAGATAATTTTGCAATTTACAAATTGTCTCTATCTCTAGAAACAAAGAATTTCAGGAAACATCTGAGCACTATGGACTTATAATTTACATCTTTTGAAAGTTCCGGTTTGTTCTCAGCATATATTAAATTTCACAAGATTGCCAAACTTCTTTAATATAATTTCAAAAAATAAACACAAAAACTCTACAACTAAACATGCAAAGTATATTATAATAAATGTGCATATATTTAGAAAGAAGATAAATGCTGATATATGTATATTTCATGCCCATTGTGAAATTCTGCCCTGGGTCATGGTAACATAGGCCACTATTTCCATTAAAATTAATAGCTTGTGGCTGTGGTTACTGTCAGTATTGCCTTATTTTCCCATCACTAGTGATTGTGACATGAATAAAATTAACTTATGTCACCATGTAGATCATTATATCCTGAATTAAGGTTAGATTTCGAGAAGCATTATGAATTTAAGGAATTCATCTAGCCTTAGTTCTAAACCACTTTATAATAAAAATCTTTATTTTCCCACCATAGGGACTCTATACCACTCTTTTAGGGCTAATTCACAGTTGCACTTGGACGATAGCAAACTGTTCAATGCAAAATGCTGATTTTATCTTAAAATCCATGGTCATCTACATTGATTTCAACTGGACAGACTTCAATTTCATTTCTTCTCAGGAAAACCTACTTGCATGGCTTTAAGAATATTAACTTCTATGTCTTGGATAATAAACGTTGGCTGTTTCCCCGTCAGGTTTTGGTAGCATCGTGGTGCCTGTATAAAGAGTTCAAAGCTGTATAGCCATCTGTAACAGCTCTATTTCTTTACAAGTTCAGTGCTCAGATAAAAATTCTAAACGTTGCAGCCCTAGACACTTGATGACTCTATTACCAAATGCATTTTATATAAGAGATCATGATGTTCCTAAAGCTTAAAATATCGTGTGAGAATAGTATTATTTTGGTATAACCTACACTTTCTTGTGATAAATCGGGACACTATTACATGAGCACGTTTTTCTTTATTTACCAAGACTAAAGAATAATTTTTACTTCCCCTTCATCAAAATAAGAATGCATTATACTGTTCAAATGACTGCAAAAAATATCTATGCATCGGAAGGAAAAGCTTACAATGAGAGTAAATTATTGTTGCTTTTTTGTTTATGACTCTATTCAATGTAAGTTTGATTACTTGAAAGGACTGGTATCCAACATATTGCCATATGGAACAATATCATGAAAAATACATGTCTCTTAATGCAAGAGTTGAATTGACACTTTGTCATAGATAAAATCTGCAGAATCAACAAAGATGCAAAATAACTAAGTCAAAACATGAATTATCTAACATAACACTATGTATTTTTATCATTCACTATTCTAATTTCATGTACATAATCTAACACTGTAAATTTCTTGGTCCCAGTTTTATTACACTCACTTTCCTGGACAAAATTCAAATCCATCCTTTCTAACTCCCACGAAAAAAAAAGCTGCTTTATGTTTTATCCATTTCTAAAAACTATTAGGTCATTCATTTCATACAAGGATAATGTAACATGTTACAAAATGTTTTAACTCATTGCTATTTGAACATACTTTGCTTCGAAATGTTGCCTTCGTTGCTCTTATTACTGTCTTTTCTTTGTGGAAGGATGAAGTGGAGAGTGGCTTGACTCACTTCTCAGAGTAATAAAATCAAGATTATGCAAAGAGATTCTATATTTTCAATATAAGAGATTTTTGTCAGCTTCAATTATGTCCAAAGTTGTGTCTCTCATCTGGACTTCACATTCCAATGCCTGCTTCATATCTCCTGAGGTGCTTACTCTACAACTGTATCTAAATGACACATTGTCACATCACACCCCATATTAGTAAGCCAAACTCATCATCATCTACATTAGCCTGGATCTCTTTCCCAGATTATGAAATTCAAACACAGCCATTTGGCTTTTGCATTTTCTTAGTACTACAATTTGACTTACCCCTTATATTTCTTACTCTATTCCTTATGAATACCAAAAGATGAACACTCATTACCTCTTTTCTGAATGAATTACATTTTTTATTTCTTTATTCTCACCTATATGAATACCTTTTATGTAATGTGTATATTATTTAGAATTTACTATATTGATTTCAGAATTTAAAAAAAACAGCAGAGGCCAGATTTTAACTTTAATAAAGGTTATTTGTGAATCTGTCCAATTCCATACTGAGAAACAATCATATTTATTTATTTCCTGTTTGCAAAAATTTTGCAAAATATGTTAATAATATGGCTTCTCAAAAGATCTAGACTTACATATCTTGACTTAAATAAATCTTCATCAATCAGCCAGTTGGAATGTACTCTGACAGTTGCCTGTACTCTGAAAGCAATTTATATGCATTTCAGAAGTACTGGGTTAAAGTGGATACTTTATTAAATGAGAATTCTAGACCTTTTACATCTCTTAGGGAAAAAATATCAAAATTTCTAAAGTTTTAGATTTTACCTATTAGATCAATTTTAGGCTTAGATGCATGCTTCCAATATTGTGTGAGATCTTACAGCCAACAAAGCTAAAAATGAGTTCTACTAGAAAAATTGAAACTATGACTACCTAAATATTGTATAGAGTATATTGGCTTTTAAATATTTAGACACACATACACATGATATATTTTGATTCATTAAAATTGTTTCTGTTTCATATAATAAAATCTAATGCATAAGTATTTCACACCTTTATATAAATAAAACCTGACCTAAAATTCCTACCACACTGAACAACATCTTGATATCTACAGCTATATTAAAAACAATTAACTAAATATGTATTTTATTAGAAGTATTTGTTTCTGTATATCCCACTAGATTATAAGTGAATTAGAAAGGATATGTCTTTTGTTTTGTTTTTGTTTTTGTTTTTTTTGGCCCTGCACTTCAGTGTATAAGCATTTGTTAAAGTGAATTGGCTGCTACAGATAGATTCAACAAGAGTTACGGACAATAGTTTGCCAAAGTTCATTCCACGAAATATTATTACTTTTAATTCAATAAAAAGGTTTTATGTCAGATACTTTTAGGAAATGCTAGTTCAATAAGTCAAATATGCTTAACTTTTAATGCAGTACTTTAATGCAGGATCTTGGTGTCTTTAAAATACTAAACATGGACTTTGAAAATTCAAGAGGATATGTATTAAAAACAAAGAGCTATTTTAAAATTTTGTCCTCTTAAACTGTTCATAAGATAATTCTCAGAGTAGTATATTGATAGCAGTCTGGAAGCCATACTGGAAGAATGTGTTCATCCATATTTTTTCCATTCTATACTGCAGTGAAGATTTTATAACAGTTGTAGTGTTTCAGGAAGAGAGAAAATGGATGAAAATTATTTGAGTGAAAGACATGAGAAGAGCAATTCTGAGGTTTCATTATAACTTAAATTCATGATTTTGAAACATCCAGAACTTTTTTTATGGGATGTCTTTATATTTTGTATTTATTAGCTAAACCATATGAAAGCATAGACCTTCAGATAGTGGTATACAAAGGGAGATGAGAAAAGCTAAGTAGAGAAGAAATTAAAACTGAAATTAAAACTGAAATTAAGCCCAAAGAAGAAAGAATCTAGTATTTTATATTTATATTTTTCACATTGCTAACTCATTTTATTCAGAAATCATAAATCCTGCCAATACTGAAAAACAAGATTTATTATTTTCAAGTCTCTCATAAATCTAAAGTATCATTAGTCACCTAATATTGCTAAAATTATACACATATTTTTTCATGTTAAAGCACTGCAAGTGTTAAAATATAAAAGTCTGCAGATTTGTAATGCATCATAAAACTTCACCCTTTTGTTGACTATGCATTTTTACCATTAGGAAAATCACTGGAAAGGTTTTTGCATTTTTTGTGTTTTATAAAATAACATGCAAAGGAACCACTAGGCTATGAGAATTCACAGCCCTTCTATGTGCATTGTTGGGTTTAAATAAATGTCTATGCTCTAATTTTCTCACAAAGAAAAGAGTCATACATAAAAACACTGTTCAAACCAAGGCAACCAAGAACTGCATTTGAGATCCAAGTAGGCAATTACCTACCAAACTAAATATTTACACATTAGTTTAGAAAATCAGTTATTATATGGCTTACCAGAAACAGAAAACAAAAATCTAGTTATACTGAAAAAACTTAAGTATATAAACATTCTAGAAAATTCGCCACATCTTTTCCTGTGTTGATTTATAACCACTCAAGCATTAATTTCATAACATTTTCACTGTGTAGATAAATGTTATCAGTGTTTTTGGAATTAGTCAGTTGAGACTCTTGTGGTGAGTGTGAAATTACGAGATGAGGAAATGTAGAAACTAAGCTAAATACTATTCCCAGCTCTTGATCAAAATGAGATTTGTTCTATTGTTTAACATGACAGCTCATATTCTTCAGTGTATTTACATGTTTTCTGGGTGGATGATTGGGTGGTGTTGATGCCCCATCCTGTGCCCTTGATTTGGGCTTGACACGGTTGTCTTGTTGGGAGCCAGTGAAGAGGTTTCTGTCTAGTTTGAAACCAAACCAGTCAAAGCATTAGGGCTACTTGCCTTCATTTGTTATATTAGTGGGTGTAAAAAGGAGCAATAAGTCACTGGTTGAATTTGGCCTGTATTTTAAAATCTCATTACAAGACTACAATAAAATATCTATGAATAATGAAACAACATGGAGAAAAAGCTTATTCCAGTCCCATTTGACTCCACTGCTGGTAACCCTTGGAAAGTAAGTGCAAATATGTTACAAACCTCAATGGGGTCTCCTCCAGCAAAGATATGAAGAATTACAAGAAATGTATTCCAAAGGATAAACAGTAAACCTGTGACTTTATTCCATTAACATATTTTTCTCTTATCTATTACATTTACTTCACTATTTTCTGTAATTGAGACTTTGACACATTAACCAGGCTAGGTCCTGAACTCTTAGGGAAATACAAGCCTATTAGCTACTATATTATATAATAAATCAACCCTTTAAATTAAGGCATCTTCTGCAATTTCTTTAAATGTTCTTCCTTCAAATCATTTAAGAAGAATAATTAGAATTTACATAATAAAAATATTGGGCATTTTTATCCTTTGCAATATTTATACCACTTAAGTGCCTAACACAATGGTGTTAATCTGAATGGCATAAATGTAAAAGAAGATGTAGGAAGATGGCCCTCAAAATATTATCTCAAAAGTAAGTCTGAATTCAAAGCAGTTAGGAGAAGTCATCGCATTCATTCAAAAGAGCTTTGGGAGCTTTTTCCTTTATTTATGACTGAACTGCTATTTTCAAATTTGTTTATGCTGTATTATAATTGTTTTTTATTCAGAGGTTTTAAAAAATCTCTCTTACTATTATCAGAGAACATAAATAAGCCCGCATCATACTCAGGCTTCTACATTGCTTTTAAGAATCTGCAACTTTGCATATAAATATGTATTTGGAGTTCCTTTAGAGAATAAATATGGTACTACTGGGCTTATGGTCCCATTGGGGTTGGCTGGCACTCATTACTATCTATTGGGTTTAGAAGAGGAAAGTGCTTTCCATTCTTGCTATCTTACATTTCTCATTAGTGAAATTTCTCTCCAAATCACTATCCTTTAACTATGAATAAGGCCCAGGTTGTGAAATTGTATATAACTTCTCTGGAGAAATTTGGTAAGGACAGTCAAAAGACAATGATACTTTGGAACAAGAGAGGCCTAAAACTATATTAACCAGTATAAACCACTAAGAAAATAAAGACATCAAAATTATTAATATAATATTGTTTTACCATAGAAATCAAATAATTAGTTCTTAATTCTGTTAAGATGACTTCATAAGCCTTATGAACTAAATGTAAATGTTAAACCAGGGTATGAAATCAAAGTTAAACATAGCACACCTGAATATGTATGGAAATAATTTATGGTCTAAAATCTCCCCATCCAGCACTCTTTCTCCCAGGGAGAAATAAATAAAGAATGAAAGTCAGATCCAATAATTTGTAGCCATCATTCATCGTTTTATAGGTGTAATTAGTAAGCTTAAGTGGAACTATGTTTGGAGATTTACTATCTCTGGAGTGTGATTATATATGAATTAGAAGAGTCTGCAGTTACTCCACACTATATGAAAATACAAATCATATTAGGAGAAATTTGCCAAATATAATAGAAAAATCAAGACACTCTAATGCTTCCATCTTAAATTTGAGCCAACAATAACTAGTTTATTTTTTATTCTGAAAGAGATAAATAATTATATATAATATGTAGCTGCAAATAAAACTCCTTGTGCTATATTGTTTTAATTGATGTAATTATTGAAATTCACACCATGTCATGAATTTTTTAAATGCTCTGGAAAATCTGGTGAATATTTATTTCATTTTCCAGCTCAATCATGCCTCAAAGAACAGCTATGTATCACATACAGAAAAAAAAAATCATTGACTGAGGAGAATGCAAGATATGTTTAATTTTTACCAAAAATAAACACAATTTCAACTACTATTACATTAAATTTGTGCATAATTGTAAAAATAGCAAAATCTTTTCAACACTCGGCCTCTACCAGTTACTGTTCTAACTTCTTTACGTGTATTAATTCATTTAATCTTCATAACAATTTCACAAATAAAATGTTATTATCATCTTTGTTTTACAGATTAGGAACCCAAAACATCAAACAGTGTAATTTACACACTTGGTATTATACTTAGTATTATACAGTTAACAGCAGCATGGGAATTTGAACCCAGGAATTCCAGGTCTAGAATCTATCTATCTACACACACACACACACACACACACACACACACACACACACACACATAAACCATGAATACATATGCGTGTGTGTGCATGTGTTTGTGTGTCTATACTCAGTGAACAAAGTAGATGTCTTTGCCATTTTGACAGAATAAAAATATCAGTGTTAGAACAGGACTTAGCAGTTAAAGTGAGTTACCAAGGTCACAACATTAATGAATGATAGTATTGACACTAGACTATTACTCTCAGTTCAGCACTACTCTCTTAGCACTAAACTGTATTAATGTTAATTTTACTCATTTTAAAACCAGTTATTTAAATACATTATCGATATTAGTAAAATAAAATCTGTATTGGCATTTATTGTGTAACTGATTTATTAATTATCCCTGTAAACTAGTGAATTTATTTTAGAGAAAACTAAACTTTGTTTTATTTTAGAGAAAACGTCTTGAGAAAAATGCAAGCTAATGAAAATGCCTTTTTACTAAAGATGAATCCTACAGGAAACTTAAAGTCAATTTAATTGATTTTATCACATTACTAAACTTTACATAGAAAGACTATATATTTGCATTTTGAATCTTAATCCTCATAAATTTATGCCACCCTCATTATCTACTTTAACATTTAGTCACTCACAGCCACTTCATAAATTCTCATGACATAAAAAGATTGCTGTCACGTAGGAAGCAAGGCGTATGGAGACAAAGGAACTCAAAGATTCTGGATTTACAGTTTGAGTCCAAGTGACTTACATCTATGTACCTCAGTTTCGTCAAATATAAAATGGGTTTACTGTGAAGATCAATAAAAATAATGCCTGTAAAAAAGTTGTGTAAACCTTAAATTGCTTTGGAAGTATTAGATGATGTTCTTTTTTGGTAATATCCTGAAACACTGCTGTGTCAAAAACAATCCCATTAAGAGATCACCAATATCCTTTCCCTTATGTCTTTTTAACTTCCAGGCTCTCTCCTTCCATTCCTCCTCAGTTCCCTTGAACGTATACTATTTGGCACTTGATGAGATTTTGGATTTCATCCCTTCCAAGGCACGGCTCTTGGTTTTCATTATGATCTCTTAGTTTGTGAGAGGAGAAACTCCTGCTGCAATTCTTTAGCAGATAGATTTAGAATAAAGTTAGAACTGTGTAGTTTCTGCCAGGAAACACTGTCAGTCAATCTAACAGTTGTTAATAATAACAAATAGATTTTTACAGACTAATTTCTTTTAACCAGCTAAAATATTTTCAACCAATGAACCATTTCCCAAACAATTAAACATTCTGATTTTTCTCATATGGATGAGAAAAATACCCATACCCTCTAATTGCCCAGTATTTCAGCCATAAAAATAACATTGTCATTAAAAAAAATGAGCTGGTCTTTATAAATCTTATTTTTAAAACTAAATCGCTGTATGTATTTGCCATATGATTTGCCATCTTTGAGAAAGTGAAATTGAACTTTCTTTATTTTAAAGTGTTGCTGTTGTTAAAATGATACTGAATGCAAAATAATATGTTTGTTTTTCAGCTGTTGTAAGACTAAAGAGATTTTTTGAATACTTCAATTATAAAAACATTTAAAACATACAAACTTGTGCAATTTTTATTTTAATGAAGATGAGAAGTTCATTAAAGAAGATAAATATTTCATTAGCTCTTAAATAAAACAAAGAGATTTTTTGGCTTCTCTCAGCACAAAATTCCTTTGAAAGATTAATTAATACATGCAAATTATGCAAATTAGACCCATGCAAATATTTTATGAAGACAATTAAGGGAACCATTAATTACTGCTTTTTTTGCTTCAGTGAGATTCATTCATTTAATTTTAATTTCACTTTAACTGTTTTGATGTATAATCTTGCAGCTAAGAACTTTATCTTTCTTGGCGGGTCACTTAAACTTAGAAATTTCATCAAGTGAGCACACAGAAATCTGTAAAGATATTCTCAAGACTATGTTTAGTATCAAGAGAAATTTCTGACACAATGCACTCCCAGAAACAGGGAAACTGGAAGGGAATGTGAGCTCATTCTTGGACAAGGTTCAACTACTGGAAAAGCAATTAATTTGCTTTGGCTGTGCTAATATAGGGGAATTAGAAAGTGTGACACAAGACAAATAGAAATAATTAGTTCTCCAAAATGATGTTCTCATTAATATGGTTTGAACAGTAGAAATAAAACAACATTATTGTGGCATGTCTGCATTCTGTCCCTAACCATGGGAGGTAGGATAATGCACTATAAGCATTTTTATATTTATAGTTTAAATGATTATGTTTTTTTCTAAAGAAGAATTTATATCAAAGAGTTTATATGCTTAGAATGTCTAAATATATACATGCTATCAAATTAATAACACACTTTCCATAACCATGCATTTGTATACCAATTTTTTATTTTGCTCATACAAATCTGTATTGTAATGAACAGATTTAAAATGGGGGTTCTTTTTCTGTTACTTAAATATTTTCAGATCACTTTTATGACTCTTGAAGTATAACATTTCTCAGAAAAAAAATTAATTGTATTTATGCTCTATCTTAAAGAAGCCACTGTGTTTCTTAAAGTTTCTCTAAGATGGCTAGGATATCCTTACCATGGGGGATGAATACAAAAAGAGGAAGCAGGCTTTGTGAATATGAACTATTAGAGTTAGTTGTTATCTATATTACTAAATGATAACCTTCTTCAGCTTTTGTAGTCATTATATACATTTTTTGTTGTGATGATGTTTGATGAACAAGTTAATTGGATAACTTGCTCCAACTGAACCATCATTTTTTTCACTTGATAATAAAGGTTAAAAAAACTCAAAGCAAAACCTTATAAATATATTTTTCATAAATCTGAAGATAATACTATACTGTATAAAAATGCTTAAAAATTAACGTATTGACTATAATGAAAAAGCAACTTCCTAGTTATTTGGAATTCATAGTAGTAAAAAGTATCATCGGTACAAATACATATATGAAATTTAAATGCAGCTGATTTTTCTACCTCTTGTCTGATACTCCCCTCAGCCCCGCAGCTAATTGTTGTTACTATAGTACCATAAAAAGATGTAAGTGGGCATATACTATCATTGATATTTGTTGAGCTTCTTAATATTCTTTAAAAACAGATGTTAAAATTAAATTTTCTTTCTTACAAAGGTAATCTTATTTCATTCTTCCTTAAATTTCTAAATTCCCCAAGTTTATTTTGCATGTTTATACTGACCGCAGAGATGTGTCACAACTTTTAAATTAGGATCACTTGTGAATTTCACCGGTGCACTGTTTAACCACTCTTCCATGCTACTAATTATGATGTTAAATCAAAATGGATCTAGCATTGATCTTTAGGGTCCCCTGCTAATATCTTTCCCAGTTTCCATATATCACTATTTTTGACTATTGGTCTTCCAGATACTATTTAAGCCCAACCACAAACATGTTTATGAGCAAGCCAACTTAATTTATTTTTTTCAACTTTATTTATGCTAACAAGACATTTATATTTTCTGTTAATAACTCTCTGTTTCAATATTTAATGGCAATTTAGTTGCACGATGTCTACTTCCCCTCTCTAAACTTCCACTTTCAATCCATCATTCTTGATATTCCCAGATTAAAGTAATTTATCTCCCGAACTCTCATAGTGCCAACCCCCTATTACATTATTTTTACTAGAAAAACATGATGCCAGGCAGGGTGCGGCGGCTCACGCCTGTAATCATATCACTTTGGGAGGCCGAGGCAAGTGGATCGCTTGAGCTCAGGAGTTCGAGATCAGCCTGAGCAACATGGCAAAACCCTGTGTCTACAAAAAATATGAAAATTAGCTGGGCATTCTCACACACAACGTCTGTGGTCCCAAATACTCAGGATGCTGAGGTGGGAGGATTGCTGGAGACTGGAAAGTTGAGGATGCAGTGAGCTGTGATTGCACCACTGCACTCCAGCCTGGGTGACAGAGCAGCACCCTGTCTCAAAAAAAAAAAAAAAAAAAGACAACAGATATATTACAAACTAAGCTCAATCATTATGCCTAAATTTTCTCTGTCTAATTGAAATAACATCACAAAACTTCATGAAATGTCCCAACACAGACATATAATAACAATGGTTTCTTTTTCGTAAGGACCAGTTTAGAAAACTAGCTCTACGAAAATAATGTATTTAAATATTTTTACATAGTAAATAATTATAATGAGTTACATTCTATTACTATTTTGAGCAGCTTCATACTTAAACAATGCCTACTATGTCTATATCACGTATAGTTTAATTTATGTAAGAAGTAATTTCCCACAAAAACCCACAAGAGGCCTTCAGCATTTGGAGTTCAAGCATATCCAGTTACATTAAAAAACAGTATTACTTTTTAAAATATATTTTTAAAAGAATAAAATATATTCTCACTCATAGGTGAGAATTGAACAATGAGAACACATGGACACAGGAAGGGGAACATCACACTCTGGGGACTGTTGTGGGGTGGGGGGAGGGGGGAGGGATAGCATTAGCAGATATACCTAATGCTAAATGACGAGTTAATGGGTGCAGCACACCAGCATGGCCATGTATACATATGTAACTAACCTGCACATTGTGCACATGTACCCTAAAATTTAAAGTATAATAATAATAAAATAAAATAAATAAAAAAGAATAAAATATTTATGCTGAAATAAAAAAAATTCTAAAATTTTATAAAATGTTAACATTTATGGGTATCGCTAAAACTTTCTGTTTAATATTAATAACTGATTGTCTAGTTAAATGAGTAGTTAACAATGACCTATAATAACTATAGAACAATAGTCCGTTTATTGCTTACTGCCTACAATCAATATCACCTTTTGTTCAATTTAATCAGTGACATCTTAAATTGATTAGCTTTATAGAAATGCTGCCAAACACCAGAAACCAGTGCCAAGGGACTAGAGGGAAATTTATTGTTTTGTTTTGTTCATAGTAACATAATTCTAATATTTATATTTTAAGATCGAGAAAAATGGTTTAAGGTAATACCCATGGTGATTACTTATTTCTAAATGACTAATCAATAGTCAATATGCAGTGCAGGCAGCCCCGAAAACAGTTTTAGTCCTGATTTGTTTGTTTGTTGTGTTTCTAAGAAACCTCTCCTTCTCCCCCACATCCCCCTTTTCAATCTAAATAAAGACACTTTTAAATATGGAAAACGTGGTTAGGTAACATTAAAAAGTTCTTGGACATTTCCACAAACACTTTACTATGGGAATAATTCAACATTGTATTATAAACACAAGTCGATTTCCCAAAAAGGGAAAAGTAAATTACATATTAAAAGTAATAACAGCTTCAGTGTTTACCAATTGCCAAGACCTGTAGTAAATATATTGTAATAATAAAATTTAATACTAACATCTAAAACTTAACTGTATACAAACTATTGCCCAGCATGTGCTAAGTGCTTTACATGGATTATTTTATTTAATCTTCACAATGACCTTTTGAGGTTAAGCTATTGCTAAAGGGGTGGGGGAAACAATGGGGCAGAGATTTCAGTCTAGATGTGATTTCTAGCATTTCTTAACTATTAGCTTCCATAGAAGTGCCTAAGGAACCCCCATTCCCACACCGATCTTAAAAGTCATATTAGAAATTGAAATGTGCATTAACAATTATATGACAATCAAACTTGAACAATACTTTCATAAAGATCTTAAAAGTGGTAAGTATAAGTAGGATACAATTTAGTGCTGTTAAAGTATGAAAGTCTTGGGATACCATTTAGCAACTTCTATTCAAATGCATACGTCAAAAGAAACAAAGGGGCTCACCAAATGTCATATATTAAATCAAAATTGGATCTGTCGCTGACATTGTAAATTTATCATAAATTCATTACATGTTAAGTTGTAGATTTTTTTCTCTAAATATGATTACTGTCTTAATTTTTTCACTGTCACTTTATTTTCTTTGCTTAGAGTGGGGTTTCCCCCAGTGTGTCTAGAAGTGTCTATAAACATAATATAGGCACAATGGCTGATGAAAAAGTAAAAAGCAGGAAAGGAAACATTTTTTCAATTGTATATCATTCGTTGGCAGTACACTGTTTTGGACTTTTTGGTCATTAAGAGGCAACAAGCTAACTATCTAAAATGAGTGATGTGGTTGGGAGTGGTTATCTTATAAAAGGGACATGTAAGCCTGGGTAAAAAGTTTTGGTGGAAGCAACAAGGACTTTGAAGTCATAAATCTCGATTCAATGCCAGAAACCCAGAAACCCCATTAACTAGTAGTGTGACTGTGAGAAAGTTAATCAGTCATTCTGATCTTAGGTGATCTTGCCTTTAAATTAGAATACACAGGAAAGGCTCAATACATTTCAGTTCCCAATCCACCTAACTATTTTAATGAGTAAATACTTCCACTTACTATTAATATACCTGTCTAAATGAAAGAAAATGTATTACTAGGAAATTCATTGAGTGACAGCATATTTGATTTAAGAAAAAAAAAAGCTTGCTCAAAGATGTAAATTCCCATCATAAGAATGACATGAAATATGATTCTTTGGAGCTGTAAGTTAACAAAACAAATAACAACAACAATAATAATATATTGTAAAAGAGTAAGAAGGGAATAATTTAACAATCCTAATCTAAAAGCAACCAGGAAGAACAAGATGTGGAAAGCAACTGGACTTACAGTCCTAGCTCCAATAAACTCTTAGTGTGACTTTTAACAAGTCATCCAACCTCACTAAGCCCCCTCTTTTGCACAATAAGGAGATTTATTTTATCTTAAAGTCCTTTCCCAATGTTAAAGCAGTTACATAAAAGTGTGCTTGGCATATCATCAACGTTGAATAAATATTTGTTGAAAAACTGAATAATTTTAAAATTCAGCATGTATCTTCAAATGTTTAGCAAACAGAAAGAAGATATTTTTACATTAGAAAAAAGATTTTTAATGTGAAGGCAAGTCTTTTATGTCTTTTTATTGGAAGAATATTTGGTTTTCTATGATCTAAGATCAGTCAAAAAAGAAGAAAAAGCCAAACAGTTTTGATTATGGTCATTGGATGTAAATAAAAGAGTTGTACTTTCAAGTGAAGTCAAGATTTTGCAAGCACAACTTGCAGATAGTCTAAGATGTCAGAGGAACTGTGGTCTATATCGCCATTGGTTTTAACAATTATTTTTCTTGGTTTTAAAAAACTTGTTTTTACTTAAAAAGTGAAAGCAAAAAACTACTAGTTTGAAAATGAACTTTTTGTTATTGTGGTAAGTGAAATATCAATTTAAAATGGAAAATTGGATCTAAGTATTTATAGAATCCAAATCTTACGTCAAATGTGAAAAGAAGAAAATAAAGTTAAAAATGCAAACGAAGAATAAACACATCCTGTTAATTCAGCTATTGCATATAAACATTAATTCTGGGTTTCCTTCTTTCTGTTTTTTCTTTTTTTTTTTTTGAGACAGAGTCTCGCACTGTTGCCCGGGCTGGAGTGCAGTGGTGCAACTTCGGCTCACTGCAACCTCTGCCTCAAAGGTTCAAGTGATTCTCCTGCCTCAGCCTGATTCTCCTGCCTCAGCCTCCCGAGTAGCTGGCATTACAGACACTTGCCACCATGCCCGGCCCATTTCTTACATTTTTAGTGGAGATGGGGTTTCACTATGTTGGCCAGGCTGGTCTCAAACTCCTGACCTTGGGATCCGCCCTACTCAGCCTCCCAAAGTGCTGGGATTACAGTTGTAAGCCACCGCACCCGGTCTAATTCTGGGTTTCTTAGGTCATCCATTTTTCCCTCTCATCAGTCTCTTCAACCAAAGTCTGAGAAATGTCAGAACATTAAGGATCTTCATATCCACAAGATCTAACATAGGTCCTAATTCCTCGATGGCTGATTCATTCCTTCAGGGAATAGCAGGCACCACTATGTGCCAGATACTCTCTCAGACAATAGGAACATGGCAGTGAACAAAACATGCATGGTTTATGCTCTGCCCCAGCTACCATAGAGATAAGAAGAAGGCATTGAACAAGGAACTGCATGTACAGATGTTCCTATGGAGAAATGGAAGGTGTAGTAAGAACCTCTAAGAGGCAGAACTAGTCCCAGGGGGCAGGGAGTTGCCACAGCGGGAGAGTGAGGGGTCTGGGAAGTGTTCCTTGAGGTAATATTTCCAAGCTGGGACTTAAGGGGTGGTTAAGTAAAGGCAAGGAAGAAGAAAAAATGTCTCCAATAGGTGGGGAAAGAAGTGAAACAACAACAAAAACTTCCAGTATGATGGGAGCACAGAGATTGGAGGGAAAGAGTCGTGACTGGGCATAGAGGATGAGGGAGTGAGGGAGGGAAATGTCACGCTCCACTCTGCCCTCATTACATATTAACGACAATATTGGACTAGATGGATTAGGGTGCCATAGGGAAGGAACACTGGAGAAAGGCAGGCTTGGGGAGAGGGGAGAGGATACATACCGTTTTGTGCACTGAACTTTTGGGTCTCTGTGAGTCGACCAAATAAAAAGTTGGATATTATTATCTGGAGCTCTTAAGAGATGTCTGAGTGGATTGGAAAAATGTCTATAAATTTTCTAAATATGTAAGTTAAAGAAACTACGGGGCCAGGAGCGGTGGCTCACGCTTGTAATCCCAGCACTTTGGGAGGCCAAGCTGGGCGGATCACAAGGTCAGGAGTTCGAGACCAGCCTGGTCAACATAGTGAAACACCGTCTCTACTAAAAACACCACCGGGCCTGGTGGTGCACGCCCGTAGTCCCAGCTACTCAGGAGGCTGAGGCAGGAGAATCGCTTGAACCCAGGAGGTGGAGGTTATGGTGAACCGAGATGGTGCCACTGCACTCCAGCCTGGGCAACAGAGTGAGACTCTGTCTCAAAAAAAAAAGAAAAGAAAAAGAAAAAAGAAGGAAACTATGAAAGTAGATGCTGTTGCCTAAGGAGAAGGAATAAAATAAGATGACGACTTAGCTGAAGAAAGCCATCATGTTATAGATTTGGCTACATAAAATGTACGCGTATGTGCATATATATGTGTAGGGGCCAGAGGGGTTTTGAGGGATATTTACTGACTGGCCCAAAACACTGCTCGATGATTGTTTTTATGAACTCTGTCTACTTTATAGATTCAAAAGATCTTAGAGAAATTCTTGAGTAGGGTAAATTTTTCAAAGTCCAACACAAATCATGCCATATAAATCTGTGTGACATAAGGCATAAGAGAGTTAATGGCCATATATTTCAGTTCCTGGAAGAAGTTTTTTTAAAATTTTTGAATGTCTGTTCTGTACTTATAGCATTTTTACAATTCATGAATTCCTAGTTATTTGAAAATCAGCAATAAAGAATCTACCCTGCGTACTATGAGCTGATTTACTTCATTAAGAAAATGCAAGTAAATTATTTAGGGCTTCTTTCTTCAGAAATACTTTCTAAACTACTTTCTTGATTCCTCTTGTCCACCTCTGTGGTTTTATAGAAATGGTGATACAAAATGCCAATGAGGCAATATTTAGTCTACCCAGAGGTGCATATTTAGGGGTAATTACTTAGCACTCAAGCAGTAAGTATTTAAGTGCCCAACTTCTAGGTGACTAACTCTTGGGCCAAGTGTGGCATTTATTTATTGCCAGAAATGTTAAAAATACATGAAAAAATTAAAAAACCTGTGGGCTTATTTTGTCTTTCCCAATAAATTGAGTTTACTTTGGAATAGAAAATAATTTCAGTTATGGTTGGATTTGGAGCAAGAAATAATACAAAGAATGTCATAACACCTGGGCTTGGGGACAGTTGGAGAGAGAAAGTGATGAGTGTGAGAGGCTGTGTGTGTGTCATTCTTGAATTGTGAAGCAGCAGGTGCTCATGGCTCCCAAAAGGCATGACATAGACCGTTTCACAAATTAGTAATGAGTTCTGGTTCTTTCTTTTTTGCCTTTCCCTTTCTTGTCCTTAGACAACATTTAACTAAATACAGTATTCTTTCTTTGATTGCTTTTGTTCACAGTTAATTGTATTCTGTTTGTTAGCTTCCAAATGTATGAATTTTGTCTGAGGTTAGAAAAAAATTTCAAAGGGCTAATAAAGCTTATTGAATAGGGTGTTAGAATAGCAAATATGATCTCTTTGCTCTGTTATGTTAAGAGTCTTGAAATAGTTTGACTGCTGGTAAAATATCTTTTAGCAACTAACAGCTAGAAACAGATTCATTGACAGTGTTTTTTCTTATTACAATTTGGGAAAAGTCATATTATCTGATAAATATAATGAATAGTTAGTATGTTTTATTAAAAAACAACTGTACATTTTGACCAGTACAACAATGGACAGGCTGAATGAATGAATAAAGTGAGTGAGGATTTTCTATTACAATTAAAGGCAAAAATAATTCCATAAAATGTGTATATGGTTTTAAATTACTATGTATAATTGTTGTACAAATGTTTTGTTTCCCTAACCATTAAGTTGTTGGTGCATAGGTTTACTGTATTCCTCCACTGGTAAGATTCTGGATACTAAAAGGAAAGCAATTTGTGATTAAAACTTTTCTTCAGAATAAGTCAGTCACAACAATGGAAACTGAAAGTTGTCAACATTTCAGCCTCATACAGCAAGACTTTACCTATATTAAAATGTATGTTTGAACATATGTAAATTTGACAAATTCAAACAAAAATAACCATAGCCTTATTAACAACCAACATGTTGTTATGGGTGGCATACATATTATATCATCAACCATACAAAAATGTTTAATCACTTCTTAATATTAACAACGAATCTCTCATTTATATGCAGGACGATATTGTTTCAATTTTTTCTAGATTGACTTCTGACCACCTTGAGGATTCTGTGTATATCAGATGATTTATATGTCACACTTATCTATGGGCTCATGTGCTTTCTGAGACCACTTTGACATTATCTAATGCGTGAATAGCCCCTGCATGTACACATTGGTGCTGATATTTGCATTTGTCTTGTTGGTGCTATTGTCCCTGATAAAGAGGACTGGTTTTTTCATTAACAGTAATTTTGAACATGTGTATGTAAGTTTTATAAGATGCAAGAGGATTCTTTTAATTGTCATAACCATATACATACAAACACATACACAATATAATTGTGCTGAAATCCATAGTACTCTAAAAATTCAGATCTTTTTCTATATCTACAATAGCATTAATCTTGTATATCCAAGATGTCTCATAATAACATATGATTCAAACCTTAGGATTTACAAATTAATTAGAATGGCCTCAGGTAAAATAAATATAGGCAAAAAAAAATCCATTCTTTCCTCAAAAATGTTTCTTCAAGTTTGTGATTGTTACTTCTTGCACATATGATAGTTTACAAAAGTATATTTCCTTTACACTAAGCCAAGAATGACATATTTGGAGCTGATTAAGTAACACAATTAACGTCATATGATATCCTAAAAATGATTGAGTTTAAAATGCAGAATAAAAGCAATTGGGAGGATTATGGCAGTTAATCATTTTAGGCATCCCTTTGAAGAATCACCTTCATTTTAAATAGAAAACAAATGCTCTTGTTACTGTTTAGTATTCATGTTGTTAGGTTGAATTTGTCGTCTGGAATAGATGTTTGCCTATAAATGCTACCTTCTGGTTTTATTCTTTTCTAATAGTACGATCATGACAATATACATATTTAGCTCTTCTGAGCATTTAATACAACTCCCTTTGGTATGCTATATATGATTTTACTCAGCAGATTTGTGTTATTAAAGTGTATATAATGGCATACAGAACATTTGGAATCCACATAGGAACTAAACAGTCTTATTTATTGTTAACATTCAACTAGTCTATTTTGCAGGTACCTTGCAGTAACTGTCATAAAAATGAGTAGTTAGACATTTTTAAATTGTAAGAACTACCTATTTGATTAACCACATATTTTATTTATGTAGCACAGAACTTATAAACCCTTCCTGCATTAGACTGGGCTTCACACATTCAATAAAGCACATTTACTGTGTCCAAGATTAAATCATACATTGTTTAAAATTAATTATTCCTTTTAATTGCATTGTATAAACAGAGATGACCTGTTAATTTAAAGAAAATCTATCAGCACAAAATGAATTCACTCATATAAACAAGCAAGATGAACTTGACCTTGTTTGAACTTGTTTTGATGTGGCCCAGATGGTAGGCTACATGCTTGAATAGCAGGCTAAAGCTGAGGAAAAACTCATATAGCAAGATCTAGATTTATAGCCTTCTGCAAATTCCTACCTTGTATTGTCCTTTCAGCATCTGTTCTGCCGCCACTGCGGTCAGCCTCTATCTCTGGGGTCAGAGAGTCTAAAAGCACAGAAAGGTAAGAGTGACACATATTTCATTTGATTCCTATTGTCCTTTAAAAAAAAAGAGCAACCTGTTACTTTGGTGCTGAATTAAAATTACGTAAATCTTTGTCATCTTTTAAAGGTTGAACAAAAACTGTAACCGTAAGAATTTTCGGAAGATTTGAACAGTAAGCAATGCAACATTGTTCATAAAAGAGGATGGGGTTCGGAAATTCTCAAATTACTATTTTATTGTGCTTCAGTAGAAAAAAATCTGGTTAAGCAGAGAAGTAATGCCAAGTCCCAGATGCTGGAGTTCAGTAAAAAACAGTGGAAGCACCTATAAAATAAGGCATTTTCCCCAACACGTTCTTCCCACCCTGCTTTCAGCTTCAAGTATAGCTGAATGAATCACAAGATATAGAAACATACAAAACTACAAACACATGCCTAAACTGTCCTTTAAGCATTAAAAATGACAGTTATTCATGCAATAATATACACCCTCTTACCATTTAAGACCCTGAGACTATCTGTTGAAGCTGCCTGTTTTAGCGTCTGTTCTGCTTGTTCACGCCGTTTCGTCTCAAACTCAAGTGCTTCCTGCAATTTTCTCTTTGCCTTCTTCTCCTTCTTTAGCCTCTTTTGAACTATGGCTAAAAAAGAGTGTATGCATATTATTATTATTATTTTTAAATTTTCATAATGCTGCTAATTTCCAAATGGTCTATATTTTTTATATTATTCATTTTGTTTTCCTGCTGAACTGAGTCTACCTATAAAAAGAAAGTTCCAAAAATCTCCACCTTTATCTAAAATAATTCCCAGTAAAATAATAAGAAAGCCAATTTTTATTTTAGCCTAGAACTATTACATTACAAGAATGGCTTTAATTGCCATATGTAAAGATAAATTTAATAGGAAACTAATTTTAGTAAATGTTTGTATTCACTGATAAAGGAAGCTTGATTAAATGAATTTTGTGGCTTAGTTCTCTGTCCTTGAATCACAATAGTGCAGAGTCATTTGGATAGTGCAAACGCTTATAAGCATGCCTCCTTCCTATTTCCTCATAGGGCATCAATTTTGACCAGCAAATGGAGCATCTCCCCTAAAAACGCTTTGGAAAGCAATGTTAGACCAACTCAGTTTTTAATAATTTCTTTCTTAAAATTTTAGGAAATGTAATAAATATTTTTTGTACACTAGAAAAAATACTTTTAATTATTGTTAATGTATAGAACAGAAATGTTTTTGTTTGGATGAAGTTACGATGATTTCCTGAGAATATTTTTCTCACAGCAAATTTACAGTACTATGATATATTTTAAGAAAATTATTCTACTTTCACTCTGCAGAAATCTGAGGCAGTATGAACCCCCATTGCTAATAATAATATGCTGCTGGTAACAATAATGAGCCTTTTATATTTAAAAAAATAGATAATACAAAAAGTTGATTATGAAACATTTTTCTCCAACTGGACAATTTAAATATTTGTATATGATACATACTCGATAAATAATAACTACTGTTCTTTACAAAATGTATATCAACTATGTTTTCTGGAGGATAATTGTTTTAACTTTTACTACATATATATGTATACATATGGTAACTACTCAGCATATGGGAATATGCATTTTTCTTTAAAATTATCTTTGTTGATGGTTGATAAACATTGTAGATATCAACGTGACAGACTCAGTATGAGAAAATGCTTCTCTTAGTCATGAAGACTAATCATTCCATATTTACTGTTTGATTTCTTACTACAGATTAAAGAACAGCAACATTTTTAAAGCAGAATAATCAAATTATAAAATAATAACGACTCAAGTATTTTAGTTTTAATTTCTAATTTCCACATAATCCTGTTTTTATTATTATATATATATATATATATATATATTTTTTTTTTTTTTTTTTTTTTTTTTTTTGAGACGGAGTCTCGCTCTGTTGCCCAGCCCAGGCTGGAGTGCAGTGGCGCGATCTTGGCTCACTGAAAGCTCTGCCTCCCAGGTTCACGCCATTCTCCTGCCTCAGCCTCCCAAGTAGCTGGGACTACAGGCACCTGCCACCACGCCCGGCTAATTTTTTGTATTTTTTAGTAGAGGCGCGGTTTCACCTTGTTAGCCAGGATGGTCTGGATCTCCTGACCTCATGATCCACCCGTCTCGCCCTCCCAAAGTGCTGGGATTACAGGTGTGAGCCACCGTGCCCGGCCTATTATTAATATTTTTAAGATGGAAGCTAATTTACATGTCAGGTGTATTGTTGCTGTATCATATATTTTTAAAAACCTGTTTGTATCAAAATGTACACTGGCTATGGTGTTATACGAAAAGAAATTGAAACTGATTTTAAACGTTAATTTCCCTTATTTAATGGTGTGCAAATCATGTGCTTACCTTAACAAAATTACCTGCCTACTGTTTCCCTTTCCAAAAATGATTATTTATGAGTCTCTTTGTAAAGAAACAGTAATTTCTGAAATATTTATTTGGATTGTACACTCTTGTGGCTCTAAAGGCTTAATACCCTGCACTTTGCCATTGACCGCTCACAGTTTCCTCCTACATGATTGAACCAAATGGGATCGTCATGTTCTCTCTCTTCAGGGTGATACACTGCTTCAATAGGCACATTCATAATAGATAAGTATTGATAGTTATTGCCTTGAATTTACTGTTCGTAATTAATTAAATGGGAACTTTACGGTGTGATCTGTGAATGTTTTGCCCTCTAGTGGTTAACGAAAGAAAACAGAATGTAAATCCTCCCAAAAGGTTTGAACCAATAAAATTCTGAAGGTCTCTCCAGTAACCAAAGGGTTACTTTAGGAATCCCCGGGCCTGCTTTTAAGTTCTGTAAAAAAGGACTAAACAAAATTAAGTGAGAACAAAATAAAAACATGGCTGTCTCATGGAAGCTGGTTCCATAGATTGAGTTCTTTGACCCAACTTATTTATTCACTTGGAATACAGCCATTATCAATGTTTACCTTGTTTTGATTATTTAAATACCTGAATCTATGTGAAGCCACATTATTTAGAACTGTGCTATACATCTGAGATGACAGTGTCCCAAAATGACCAACTTCCAGGAATACACTAACTGTTGCTTCGTAATAGCTAATAAAACAACCTGGTAAATCCTGCTAGTTTAAAGACAAAATAGAAACAACTATTTTTAAATGACCATTTCAAACATATAAAGGAAAATAATGTGGAGCATTTATATTGGATATATATTAAATGCATAGTTGAAGCAAAGAGGCAGTTGATTGTAGACAAAATAATCTTCAAATTCATACATAAAATAAACATGCAAATATAAATGACCTTCAAAATTATCTATAGATGCACCATACAGTGTGACAAAAGAAGCAGTTCACAGATCAATAATATTATTTTATCCAATAAGAATTTATATCAGTTTCTACTCTGTGTACTTGACCTTGTTGGATGAAAATGAGGCCTTCAGAAAGAAAATTATACAAACATTTAACTTTGGTCATTTGTTCAGATATTCATCCATTTTCAATTTCAGTTGATAAATATCTTAGTAAACCTGCTTCACTTGAATAATCAGTATTTTCTATTTTAGCTTTATGAGTTTAACTCAAGTTTTTCAAAGGGCAATTGTGAATTAACATAAAATTTTTCTTCATGGCTATCATTAGAGTTTATTCTTATCTTAAAGAACATGAATTTTTAAACTCAACAATCAATAAAAGTTATATAATTAATGATGTAATGGATGTATTTCAATTTCCTGAGGTAGGAACAGAAAAGAAAACATGTACTTTGGAGATTAAGAAATACAATGAGCCTAGGATTCAAATTCTGCTCTGAACTTTAGCTACCGTTAAATTAACAAAAATACTACAATTTCAAAATAAATCACCATCATAGTATTAATATGTTTAATATTTTCTGTAAATATTTAACTTATCTGGAAATTTGGAAATACCTCTATTCTTTTGTTCCATAGCCAACTGCTTCTCAAGTGTTTCCCTTAGTTCTCTTTCCCTTAAAAAATCCATCTTCAGCTCAGTTTTTTCCAGTTGGACCTGTTTCTCTTGAGCTCTGGCATTATCTATGGCAACTTTCAACAGCCCCTGTACAAAGAAGATATTCGGAATGGTAATATTTTAATACAAAGCAAATTTCGTTCATTACTTAAAAGCATTTTCAAAGCAAAGAACCCAGTGATCAAATGACCTAATTCTTTCGCATTCACTCTGCACTCACTAGAACAAATACTATAACTAAAGCATAAAACTCCTAAGTCTAATTAAACTATTTTCGGAAGACAAATATTTATGGCATGCAGGTTTAATTGCTTCTAATTAGAATATCTAGATCCAAAGCTAAGTAGATATTCTAATTAGAATATCTAGATCCAAAGCTAAATAAGGGCAGCACATAAGCATGTCTAAAAAATAAGAACTGAGAAGGAAATTAGGCTGAAACTCCTCCACAAGTAATTATCTGACATGGTTTATGCAACCTTCCAGGATTCTGGCAGTGCTCACCTTTCTCCTCAGAGCTCATTCTCCCACTCCCTACCATGAGCACATAGCCACAATGGTCTCCTTTTGGTTCCTCAATGCAACAATTTGTTTCTGCCCCCACGGACTTTGCTCTTTCTGTTCCCTTCCTGAATGCTTTTCCTCCAGATCTTTGCATGGCTCACACCCTCATTTCATTTCATCTTTGCTCAAAGTCACCATTCAAGAGAGGCCATCTCTTACTACCCTATCTCCAAATGTATCTTATTACTCCCTCCCTAAAATTCTTCATAGAATGTATCATTATGTGGTATTGACATATATTTATTTGTTTACTGATTTATGTTATGTCTTCTTTATTAAAATGTAAGCTCTCTGGGGCAGAGACATGTTCTCTCATTCAGGACTATGCCCCCAGGGCCCAGAAAGTGCCTACTATATACTAGATTTTAAAATTTCACAAATAGCAATTATAGTACTGCTACATTTTTCTTGAGATACGTAATATATTTAAGCGATCTAAAACTTGGTTTAGTAGTGCATTACTTTTTAAAAAGCCATTCAAGATGGTTGTAATAAACTCAGGATAACTTCTAGGAAATGATTAGACAGCATAATAATTTAAAAGAACATATGGAGAAAGCAAAGTTTATTCATACAACTAATGGTGAATATATAAATATGTATATATTTTGACATACTGTATGCTTTTAAAAATTAGCAGTATTTTAAGGTTCTTGAAAATTAGATATGGAAATATGTTAAACATATAAAAAGCATTCTCTGTTTTCTCTCCTAAGATACTTTGAAACAGTTACTAGTAAAAATTAGAGCTAAAACTTCTCTTCAATTCAGCAATACAAAATGAGTTTTTGAAGTAGAAGATATTTTGCCTTGGTCTGTGAGTGTCAGAGACTGAAATTTTCAACTGAAGTTAAAATGAGATGAAAGTTGATGTCATTTGTAGATGTACTCTAGGATGTGACTCCCTTGCAAGAAGACATTGTGAGCAGTTCGAATCAGGAATTTCTACTCCAGCTTGACTTGTAAGCGCAATAGACAGATAGTTTTACTTCAGTCTACCAATATAGTTTATAGCATTGCTGTAAGCCAATTTTATTCTCTTTTGACCACATACAAATTATTCCATATTTGCTATACCTGACCCTGAATCTCCTGGTATAATTCTTGTGATATGAAACAAGCTGAAGAAAGATTTCTCCGTGGCAGGTTGCCCCTCCCCACTCTTTTGTTTAACAGTAAAACATAGCTGCTAAGGAAACTGCCATCTTAACTCAATTCAACAACATTCCTGTGTAGGCTTCTTCTTCGTCAGGAACAAACAATTAGTAACAAATGAAAGAGATCATTACATCAAGTGCCCTTTTAGATCACCCCAATTAAAACTTTAGCTGTATTTTAATTCTAAGATACCAAATTCTAATTTTCTGCTCTGATTGCTCTTGTTGACTTATCTTTGAAAGATGTACTCTGTGTGCAATGTCTAGAGATTATTTAGCAAGATGCCAATGTTGGCACCACTTAATGTGTTGATTGGTTGTATTATCAGTAGCTGTTTAAAATAAATTACTATTAAACTATTATTGTCCTTGGCTGACAAAACACAATATTTTGGTGTTATTTAAATGTGAAACAATCATTATGAATAAACATGTTGAATAATGTTAAACTGCAACTCTAATTTGTGTAATTTTATATTAATATTCGTTGTAAAGAATGAAGTTGCTGAGAGCATTTATGTTTACTGTTTCCTTTTGTTACAATTGCTGCTAATGTGACTAATGGTAATACATTACCTATTCCTGCTGATTATGTCTGAAAAATATTAGCTTTTAGGATCCAATACTCTCTGGGACTACTTATAAGCTATATAAAATTAAATGTAATTTTTAGACTTTGTATCAGTGCATATCAGTAGGAGTCCAGTGTGAACAAAAATCTGTACTAGAGCCAAACTGATGCATATGCAAAAGTATGTTACCGCCAGTGACAGCTCTGCTTCAAAAAATACAGAAAACGGATTAAATTTCAGTGCAGCAGGGGGCTGGGAAAAGCAATAGGATGTAGTGTTCAGAACATCTACAAATCTTTAGGACACCATTGTAGCCATCAATGATAATAATACTTTCAGATTTGTGTAACTTCTGTAAAATTTCCAGGTTGATCACGTGCAAACGGTCACGTTAAATGCTGCATCTCACTTGGACATGCAATATCCAGAAAATGCTGTGGCAAAAATGTGAATGACAAAAAACGATAGAAGGTTTAAAGCATGATTTTTTCTCCAAGGGGAGGATGGTTCTTAGGATACTGAAGTCGGTTAATGACAAGTCTAATGAAATACATTTTAAGTTTATGCCACAGCAATGGTGAGAGACAATAGTTGATTGACCCCAAATTTTTTTTCTGAGTGAGACATAATGGTTGTTATACTACATAAATGTCATTGTTTTCTAAAATAATCTAATTTGTAAATTATTTTCATCATTTTTTAGAGATTGAGTTTTTTTTTTAAAGGGTACTGTATCTAGCAATGTTTCTACAGTTGATACGGCTTAGAAAGTACAATATCTGTCTATATAAGAAGACTTCAAATAATACTGCTAAGAAACATTTCTTAATAACCTAGCTAGATCCTGGAGGAGAAGCTTACTTGATCCATGTTTGTATTTAACATAAATTTATTTCAGAATCAGACAATATCTAAGGTTTCTCGAGTGTCACTGAAACTCATGTGATAAAATTTGTTCTCAATAATGTGTTGCTTCTAATGAAATTAAAACACCTTAGTTGAAGAGGATTTTAGCAATCACCATCCTAACCAAATACTTTTAAAGATGAGAAAACCAAGATGCAGAAGAATCAAGAGACTGACTGAAAATCCCAAATACTGAGTTGAGTGTGCCTAGATCAGAACTGTCCAGCTACTTAGTCTTCTTTATTATTCTTTTAATGTTTCCCTGGTCTCTTTTCAGGGAGAAAAAGAATAATGTCCCTTGGAATCAGGAACTTTTGTAGACCAAAAAACAAACAAATAATCAATAGTACAGTATCAACTGACAGTTTTTTTTTTTTTTTTTTTTTTTGAGATGGAGTTTCGATCTTGTTGCCCAGGCTGGCGTGCAAATGGCGCGATCTCGGCTCACTGCAACCTCTGCTTCCCAGGTTCAAGCGATTCTCCTGCCTCAGCCTCCCAAGTAGCTGGGATTACAGGCATGTGCCACCATACCCGGCTTATTTTTTTGTATTTTTAGTAGAGACGGGGTTTTGTCATGTTGGCCAGGATGATTTCAAACCCCTTACCTCAGGCGATCCACCCACCTCAGCATCCCAAAGTGCTGGGATTACAGCGTGAGACATGGCGCCCGGCCCAACTGACACATTTTCAGAGAAGCTTTTGTAACAAAATATAATACCATACTCTTTAATGCTATGATTATTGTCCTGCAACGCCGATGTATGACAGGAACAAAGAAGAGAAGACTCATAATATATAATTACGATTGAAAATAAAAACATATAATGTAGGGCCAATATATTTGATATTAGCTTCCCCATATTTTGAATTCAACGTCTATTTTGTTGGGGTTTATGCAAAGTCTTCTCCTAATTAATATTATATATAATTATATATTATAATTAAATTATGTATCAATAATTAAATTATGATTAAATTTAATGTTACAGTTAAAATTATTATATTTATATAAAAATTAATATAATAAATAACAAATAATACCTTATAATAAATAATATATTAATATAATATAAATGAATACATAATAAAATTATAATTACAATAATTTTTATAATTATAATTTTATAATTAAATTATAATTAAAATTATATATTAATGTAAATAAGGAAACTATTATTTTATTTTAAAATATATTGAAAAGTAAAGTAAAATTATTGGCCATGATATTGAAATGTAAAGAACTGAAGATAGATAATCAGAGTACAGTCATTCACCTCCATAACAACTTTTTGGTCCGCAAGCATATATGATGGTGGTCCCATAAGATTATAATATCATATTTTTACTGTACCTTTTCTATGTTTAGACACACAAATACTTGCTATTGTGTTACAGTTGTCTACAGTATTCAATATAGTAATCTGCTATACAGGTACATAGCCTAGGAGCAATAGGGTATACTGTATAGACAGGTATATACTAGGCAATATCCTCTAGGTTTGTATAAGTGCATTCTATGATGTTTGCACAACTCTAAGACTGTCCAATGATTCATTTCTCAGAATGTATCCCCAGCATTAAGTGATGCATGACTATAGTTCAGTCTTATACTTAATTCTTTTTCATTTTCTTCCCACAAACACAGAAGTAGAGAATAATTCCTCCTAGATACCATGGTTGGATTATGTCCATTTACTAGGCTATAGTGAATCAATCTGGAGCTGCCATTTCTTGTGTGTGTATGTGTTTTTAAGATAGGGTCTCACTCAGTCACCCAGGGTGGAGTGCAGTGGTGCCATCATAGCTTACTGTAGCCTTGAACTCCTGGGATCAAACCATCCTCCTGCCTCATCCTCATGAATATTAATAGCTGGGACTGTGGGCATGCCCCATCATGCCCAGCTAATTTTTGTATTTTTGTAGAGGCAGGGTCTCCCTATGTTTCTCAGGCTGGTCTCAAACTCCTGGCCTCAAGTGGTCTTATTGCCTCAGCCTCCCAAAGTGCTGGGATTACAGGTATGAGTCACAGCACCCAGCCAAGCTGAAGCTATTGTGGTTTTAACATATGTTTTAGGTCTTTCTTGTTTGCTTAATTCTTCCATGTAGGTAGACTATAGTGAACCAAACTCCAATCATATATCCCCTCATGGCAAATATCTTCAATGCTAACCTCACTCCTAACTAAATTTTATATTCTCTACTTAAACTTTACATTTTCACTTTTTAGTTATTTAACTATTCTTATTTTAATGTTTGTAAGCCACTTTTTAAAGCCTTTTTGTAACAAGATAAACAAAGTAAATAATTTGTTCACAACCCTATGTGCCAAAAGGTTCTAGATTTTAAAAAGTGAGTAGGCCCGGGCGCGGTGGCTCACGCCTGTAACCCCAGCACTTTGGGAGGTGGGTAGATTAGTTAAGGTCAGGAGTTTGAGACAAGTCTGGCCAACATGGTGAAATGCATCTCTACTAAAATGCTTTTTAAAAATTGCCAGGTTTGGTGGTGGGAGGCTACTCCCAGCTACTCAGGAGGCTGAGGCAGGAGAATCACTTGAGAGGCGGAAGTTGCAGTGAGCCCAGATGGTGCCACTGCACTGCAGCCTGGGCGACAGAGGGAGACTCCGTCTTAAATTTAAAAAAAAAAAAAGAAAAAAGAGTAAGCAGAATTATCCTTTGATCATGTTCTAATGGTAGCTCATGTTTGACGGTGTCATATCCAGTTAACTGATACTAAAATTTTAGTCTCCTTACATAAAATCTCACAGGTTGTTCTCCATGGACAGGATTGAAAGAGGAAGCCATAATGAAAGATAGACCACAATGAAAAAAAAATGCCATATAGAAAAAATAAAAGCAATTCTAAAAATCAAAAACTGAACTGTATCCATATTCTTCACTAAATTAAATTAGTTTTTTACTCTAGATATCTGTATCCATTATCACTTTTAATTTCTAAAACACTCAAATGTCAGGAAGTAGTATAGCTCAAGCAGTAACAAAAATCTGGTGCCCAATTTTTTATATATATAAATTTTATAAATTTCTAAATATAAAATTTAAATATAATTTTTTATATATCAACATAGGATTTTTTTTACAGGTCTTTTTTTTTCTTTTTACTTCATTCATTATAACTTTTCTTTTCTTCTTTTTTTTTTTTTTTTTTTTTTTTTAGCTGGAGGGAGTCTTGTTCTGTCGCCAGGCTGGAGTGCAGTGGCGCAATCTTGGCTCTGCAACCTCTGCCTCCCGGGTTCAAGTGATTCTCCAGCCTCAGCCTCCTGAGTACCTGGGACTACAGGCATGTGCCACCACACCCAGCTAATTTTTACATTTTTAGTAGAGACAGGGTTTGACTATATTGGCCAGGATGGTCTCAATCTCTGGACCTTGAGATCCACCCACCTAGGCCTCCCAAAGTGCTGGGATTACAGTCATGAGCCACTGCACCTGGCTAACTTTTAATTTCTATAACACTTAAATGCAGGAATTCAGTATAGCTCAAATAGTTAACAAAAGTCTGGTGCCCAATTTTTATATATATGTACATTTTATAAATTTAAATTTTAAAATAAAAATTTAAACACAAAATTTTCACATATAATTATAGTATTTTTCTATAGATCTTCTTTTAAAACACAAAGAAATAACTGACAAAAATTTAATTTTGATGATGATGTCATGGAAAGGACATCTGTGGTAATCATTACAAATTTAAAAATCCAGGCTTTTTAAATTATAATATATAAATTATTGATCATTAGAACAATAACACTTTATGAAAACACGTTATTTTAAAGGGTTTTTTGGTCATTAATTTTAATAAAAAATAACATCTTTAAAAAATGGAACTTTAAACTTACTACACAAAAAGTATGTACCATTTTGGCATAGAAAGCACAGAACCCTATTATATATAATTGAAACTGCAGAGGAAATTGAGGTAGGCAGAATGTAATTACCCATATTAGAATTTGGACAGCAATCACATTTATACTGTATACCTAATAATCCGGGGTCATGACTGTTTAAACATTCCATACCATTCCTATGATAATACCATAACTCAGTAAATGTGACAATAGTAAAAGAGTTAGCATCTGCAAGCTTTTGTAAAATGATATGAAATCATTACTAACAATAAATATGTGTGTGTTTGTATATGTATGTGTGTGTATATATATATTTATAATATACATGTGCATGAAATTCTGTAGGATTTTTAATTTTTATTTCACCTTGTGGGCACATATGTACATGCATGTATAAATATATGCATATGCATATTAGACATACATATAAATATATGATAACTGCATCTATATATACACATACATATAAGTAAGATTGAAGCGGACAAGCTAAATTAATTAATTTATTTATTTATTTATCTATCTATCTATCTATCTATCTATCTATCTATCTATCTATCTATCTGAGATGGAGTTTCACTCTTGATGCCCAGGCTGGAGTGTGGTGGCACAGTCTCAGCTCACTGCAACCTCCACCTCCCAGGTTCCAGCAATTCTCCTGCCTCAACCTCTCGAGTAGCTGGGATTACAGGCACCTGCCACTATGCCTGGCTAATTTTTTGTATTTTTTTTTTAGTAGAGACGGGGCTTCATGATGCTGGCCAGGCTGGTCTCGAACTCCCGATCTCAGGTGATCCACCTGCCTTGGCCTCCCAAAGCGCTGGGATTACAGGCATGAGCCACGGCACCCGACCCTTAATTTATTTTTAATAAAGCATTCTTATTTTGGGTGTTCTAACTTTATCAGTCCCAGATCCCTATAATTTGGGAATAGAAATAAATTATTTAGCTTGTCTTGACCATTGTCCTTTTATCTACTCTTTTGAAAATATGTCTTGAAGGCATATGGTAGGAAAGGAGAGTATATTAAATCTAGAGCCACCTACAATGAGTAATTTGTCTAAAATGTGTACATTTTAAAGCTGGAGTGTTCTTTTTCTTCTTTTCTTTCTTTCTTTTATTTTTTCTTTTCTTCCTTCTGAAATAATTATAGTTCGAGGTGATGTGGATAACATTCCTAATCTGAGTATTTCTGGTCCGTAGAGTGTGGATGAATACTCCAAACTGAGAGGATTTGACTTTGAAATGTAGTGGTCATATACAATTCAAGAGTCCATGTGTCAAACCTGCTCTTCAGATGAGCATGCTGTTTTACACTGATGAAACCCAGAAACGTTTTCTCTGCTGAAATTGAAATTAAATCCTCACTGACCTGGTTAAAGAGCTTTCAGTTAATGACAATCCATGCAAATAGCTTTTCTTTTGCTTCATATTGAGTTTTATACATAAGAAAATGAATTATTCCTTTACTTTTCAGAACATAAATTCAGAAATGTTAAGGGATATTTTCTGAAAACATTTACCTTAACATAAGAAAAATTCATTAAAAGCACTATCTTATAATAAACAATAATATGGGTGAAATTTAGAAAGAAAAGTCTTTTGTTTTATATAATCGACTATTTGGCCATGATTTAGTATAGGCTGGATTGATGATTTTCAATTACTGAGTTATAAAACCTTAAAGTTGAATACAGTTCTGGAGACTCTAATTACATTAGTATTAAAAAATGCCATATTAATAGATGAGAAGATATGTTACATTAAAGGCCTTCTGTTATGTCCTTGGAGAGGTAAATAAAATTAATTACATTTCCACTGGGGGAAACTTTAATATGATAGGATATGTGTACAGAAAAATATTACTGAGGATGGAATGTTAGAGTAAAAGAATTTTTCTAAAAAGGAGCTTACCAGCACACTATCAGCAACTTCTGCCTACTACTCACTAGCTACCCAAATATGGAGAAGTAGATGACAAAAATCTCCATCTGGGGTCCACATGATCACTTCATGTGTGGGCAAGAAAATTATGCTTTCTTCTATCCCAAACACTCTTATTATCTTGGCTCCACACTCTATGTTATTGTTAACTGTAAGTATTTTTGATTCATAATGTACTGTACATAAAATATACATCCTGAGGACCACATAGGAAATCCGTGGAAAGTTTGGTAAGGCTTTTTGAAGTCTAGTCTTTGAAGAAATTCTATTAATTGAAACAAACTTATTTATGAAAGAAGGCATTTTTTTGGATTCTTCTAAATTAGACATATTTTAAATGACTAAACATATCATTTCCTCACTAGAAGTCCAGCAGTTTAAAAATAACTAAATATTTATTAGAACTAGTGTGCCGTTGTTTAGTAAAATCAGACAAACTTAAACAGTTAAATTCCTCCAATTAGTTGGTAATAAAGAGAGCATTTTAGACAGAATGAATTTTAAAGGCCTATGTCATTTTCATCTAAGTTTTTATTATGGCTTAATATACATATATATGAATATATATATATATATGAGTATTTCTAAGCTAATTTGATTAGTGTAACAGGTTTAAAATCTAAGTTGCTTGAAGAGTTTAATACCATGTTTCAGTCAGTCTAATGGGATTAAGTAGGAACAGTATAAATTTTGGAAAAAAAAAATCTACAACAGGGTGTTCCATATGTCTTTCTTCCAGGTTGTAAAAAGGCCTACCTGTATGTTAGTCAGAAGAGTCTCGATGGAAGACAGTCCATCAGGAAACAGAAAAGGAGATGGAAAACCTGGAGGCAGTGGTTGTCCATGCCCAGTTAGAGAGAGTTTGTCAAGGCTGTCTCTTGCGGTTGGTGTAGAAAGCGGGGTCTCATCTGCATGTGATTGAAACAAAAATATAGAACAAGTTACGCTTGTCTGTTTTTATTAGACCTCAGTAATGGCTTCCCTAGTGGTTTCCAGAACATTTATTGCAAATTGGTTCCTGCTATCAGGAGAAAATGCTTTCTGCTGAATTTTCTTTAATGAAAAAGCTGTGGAGATACAACAAGATAACATTAATGAGTAACTTTATAAGCCTTTTAAATGCAGTCTCTAATGAGACTGAGTTTACAGTGCCATAGAATCTTTTTAAAACAAATATTATCTCATATATAGTTGTGATAATATATTCAGGCTGACTTTATGGGCACCTTCCCAATTATCTCCTTTTAGTTTGTTCTGTTTGGATTGACAATAGAGTATTTCTAGAGCTCCATATAAGAGAGGGGCTTTGTATATTAGGAAGCTTCTTTCTCTATTAACCCTTCCTTTATATCAATGTTTGTTCAAATATATTCTTAAGGAATTTACAAAAGAATGTAAAGTTAAAATCTTTCACTTTACACCTAAAAAGAAAAACTGGAATCCAAATATGTATTTCTAAATTATAACTGAATTATTCATCATCATTAAAATTAAAGACATAATTTTTTTGAACTTGAAGACCTTTTACCTTCATATTGAAAAATTATAGCTTCCATACATAAAAAACGGTATAAAGGAAGAGTAATAAAATGCTACTTCTATAACAACATTCAGGGAATCAAATTTAAAAATCCCTTCAAAATAAACTAGTCTTATTGAATATTCTTCAAATTTTTAAGCAATTTAGAGTAACTCATGAATACAGATTCTTTTCACCTCTCACAGTGAAATCCTTTTATTCAGTTTTCTTTATTGTTTAACCATTTTTACAGTTTCACATAAGATAGATACAAGTTACGGCTTATTTTAGTTTATCATAATCACAGAGAAAATTTTATTCATGGCAGGATCCTCAGTTTTATAAATATTTTCATATTTCACCCCAGGAAAATTAATCAGAGCAATGTATTTGCACAGTCCCGATAGTATCTCTCAATTTTGCAAGTAGCTAAAAACTTCAGCACACTTGCCTTATGCTTATAATTTGATTCCACTGTTCTCCTCAATCATTCTTTTATTTTTCATTACACCATCTAACCACACAACACGTTTTCCAATTACGTCTCTCTGGGGCAGAAATATTGTAGAAGCTGCCACACTTCCCTGTCCCTCACTAATGTCAGAACAAGTTAAATTCATCTCCCTCACCTTGCCACATTTCTAGTTAATAAACCAAAAGGAAAGAAAAGCTGGAGAGGGGAGTAACGGCCAGAAGGCCTCCTATTAACTCCTCTCACACTCACGACTTTGCAGTTTCTCCTTCTACTTCCTCCTATGTTAACTTACTGAGACAGATGATCTGAGGCAGCAAGTACTAGAGGAAGAAACAGAGTAAGCAAACTAAAGTAGGACTCATGTTATTTTTCTTTTTAATCACACTTGTCACCAGGGTTAAAGAAAGATGGCCATGCAGGGGCAGGGATGCTGCATGGCTAATGTGAGCAAGGTGATCTTGGACACCATTTACCTAGCTATCATAAATTGCTCTTCCAAACCAAGGCTGCTAGTGTTTTCTCATAATAGCTCTGGAAAGGCACTTGTTAAACATATATGTGCATGTGAAATTGTTTAAGAATGGAGAGCAATATCTTTCGATCATCATCACCTTAGCTGTCACATGCTAAAGAAAATGTGGCTTAATAGATCATGGGGATAATAATTGCTTGTCTCTTGAAGAAAGGCATAGAACCAGATGACCACCTGAAGTTGCTTTCAGCTTTAGAATCTATGATTCCACAATTATTAAAGACTGTCCAAGAAAATAAAGAATCATATGTATGTGTACACATTTACACACATTTAGGCTATAAGTTTCATCATCCCCATAATTATTTGATTTAACTTCAGTGCATTTATGCTTGACTACATTTGGCTGTTGTGTGGATTAAATCATTAAATCACTCATGATGCATAAATTTATGTAGCCAGTATTTATTTAACATAAACAATGTGCTGGATACTGGAGATCAAATGCTAAAAACACAAACAGAAAGCCTCAAGAGGCTCATGTAGCCTAGAGTGACTGATTTCAATTGTTAAATAGCTAATTCCTATAGCCACTAATACAGTTTTCCTTCACTCATTATTTCTTCAGATACTCCATTTATCCAAATATAGCAGTAAAATTCTGTATATATATATGTACATGTGTGCGTGCATGCCTGTAAGCACATTTTTTCCTGCAGCTGTTTTAATGGAACGCTCATTTTGGGCCTCGTGGTTTCAGCTGTATGAGAATAGGCTATTATTTGTTACAAACTTATCTAATTGGATTCCTTCATTTATCATCTTACATAGCGAAGAGACTACGTAAGGACGCTTTAATTCAATATGTACATAAGAAATTAGCAAATTTGGGGCAGAATGTTTAAGAAGCGAAAAAATGATTCTTAAAGTCAATACACAATTTTGAAAAGAACACAAACAAACTACTTGAAGATCAAACAAACAAGAATATTCCTTTGGGTCTCATGACCCTATTATCAGACATAAAGTTGTCATCTTGTGGCAATTAATATCATAGAAGATTTCGTTTAGCTCTTCCTACAAAGATTGTAATATTGGGACCATGGTTCCACCTTTTGAAATAAAAGTGACCTTTGATTTCCTAAATGTTCTAAGAAGATTAAAGCAAAAGTTTGAGAGGCCAATGTAGAAGAGAGTTTTGACATCACATAATCTCCACTGACTTCAAAGAGTGAATGATGATGAAATACAAATTCACAAAATACCTTATTCTCATTGATATATCTGTACATATTTCTAAGCTTATCTTTAAGAGAAAGTTGGCTAGTCAGATGTCATGATTTTTGGATTAGTATAGCATTTGACAATGTAATTTCTTGTTTTTTTTTGTTTTCTTAAAAAACATTTTACTTTAAAATAATTGTATACTTACAGAAAAGTTACACGAATTGTACAAGGAATTCCTTCATAGTCCTGTAATGTGTGAATGGCTGACCGCAAACTATATGTTTATTCATACTTCCTGACATGTAACGACAAGTAATGTTATTTTACTTTAAAAAAGGGTTTTCACAGAGGGAATTAAGTTAAGATCTTGAGATGAGGAGATCATTTTGGTTTAGGATGGACCCTAAATCCAATGGCAAGTGTCTTTTAAGACAAAAGCAGAGAAAGGTTTGAAAGAGGCAGAAGAGAAGACACAGAGAAGAGAAAAGGCAAAGTGAAAACTAGGCAGATGTTAGAATGTTTCACCTACAGTTAAGGAAGGGAGACAACCACTGGAAGCTAAAAGAGATAAAAAATGGCCCTTGGAAGGAGCTCATTTCTGCTGACACCTTCATTTTGGACTTCTAGTCTCCAGAACTGTGAGATAATAAACTTCTGTTGTTTTAAGGCACCAGGGTTAAGGTCATTTGTTATGGCCAGCTCTGGAAAAGTAATAAAACTCCAGTTCACCAATTGTTTACATTTTGTCACTTTTTTTTTTTTAAATTCTCTCTCTGCTTCTCTCCCTCTCTTGTTCTGTGTGTGTGTGAGTGTGTGTGTGTGTGTGTGAGTGTATGTGTGTGTGTATGGTGTGAGGGAGGGTGCATATGTTTGAACCATCTTCCCCAATTAAGCCTTAAGATTTCAGTGTATATTTCTTAAGTACAAGGACACACTCTTACATAAACACAGTCCAAAATCAGCAAGAATAACATATGAAGAATACGATGATTTAATCAAGAGTCCACATTCCAATTGTATTATTTTTGAGATTTTTTGTTTACGGTAGTTACATAACAAATATTTTAACTTTTTTGTGACATGTTCTTAATGAGTTTTTTTTTTTTTTTATGGGCATGTAGTAAGCACGAAGTGGCCTCTAAGAGGGACTGTGATGATTTCTTATCCTGTTAGTCACACCCTGTCTGGTCCTTTTCTCTTGACCTAACAAAAAGAATACAACAAACATGAGATGTCACTTCAGAGACAGAGATTTGGTTATAAAATGTCTAGCTTCCATTTCTCTCTCTCTTTCTTTTGCATTGCTTGCCATGGGTCAAACCAGTTGACATGACATGAGACAGCCCTGTGGAGACGTACATGCAACAAGGGACTGAGGGCCAACCTCACGAGTTGGGTTGAAAGTAGATTCTTCCTAACCAGTTAAAGCATTAATGGCTGCAGCCCTGGCTGACAGGTTGATTGATTGCAATCCCATGAGACCTTAAACCAGAAGCACCCAGGGAAGCTGTACCTAGATTCTTGAGCCACAGAAACTGTAGGATCATAAATCCTACATAAATGTTTGTTGGTTTAAGCCACTAAGTTTTGGTATAACTTATTACACAGCTATGGATAACTAAAACAGTATGTAACTTTTTCTCTGGCAAATATAATAAAAATAACTTAAATGTTCAGTTAGTATTAGCTGCTTTGGACGTGGAACAACTTCTTTCTATTCAATTTCCTCATTTACAAAAAAATATCAGGTTAAATGAGACAAATGTAGGACCACACAAATGTAAAATTCCACATTTTCTAATACTTTTTATAAAAATTTATAAAAAATTATTTAAGTGGGCTTCTCACCTATTATGATGAAGAGTAACAATGTATCAGTTTGGAGTTAGAAATTTTAAAAGTTTTAAAATTATTAATTTCAAAGATTTATGAATATCTATGTAATATCTGAAAAAGAATGAGTCATACAAGTAAAATTTCAGAACAAGTTATTAATTACTTAGGTTTACAAGCTCCACTTTATAAGATTCTTAAATTATCTTGTTTTCTTTTATTAAATTAGATCACAGTTCAGTCACCTATAAGGCAGCACTCCCAATACCTTTGATGGCAAATCAGATGCAGCAAAAAGTGCATCTTCCTAGGAAAAAAATTAAGCACTTTCAAAAGATGCAGTAACTAGAATACTGTTATTTTTTAGAGGACTACACATGGGTAGGGTCTGGCAGTTATGCTAGTTCTCTACATTAAGTTGTTAGTGGAATGAAACCATTGCAATTTTCAGTTTTACAGTAGTATAAAACCACTGCAATTTTGATACTTTGAATTTTGATTTTTTTTTCCTGGGTTAGCAATATGCAATGGTATGAAACCATTGCGATTTTCAATTTTACAATGGTATAAAACCATTGCAATTTTGATACTTTGAGTTTTGAATTTTGACTTTTTTTCCCCTGGGTTAGCAATATGCAGTATGTGAGATATTTAACACTTTATTATAAAATAAGTTTCGTGTTAGATGAAGTTGCCTATCTGTAGGTTAATGTAAGTGAGCACATTTCAGGTAGGGTAGGCTAAGCAATGACGTTTGGTAGGTTAGGTGTACTAAATGCATTTTTAATTTACAATATTTTCAAATTATGATGGGTTTTATCAGGATGTAATGCCATTGTAAGTTAAGAATTATTTGTTTTTTAATTCAGTTATTTGAAACTATAGTGGTTTTCTAAAGAAAAATAAAGCAGCACATATTATAATCTTGACCAGAAAAACTACTTATTAACATCTTAATAATTATATAATAAATACATTGATAATTATAACAACATACAGTCAATTAGAATAATAGAAAACAAAATGAGAAACCAGAAATGGAAGAGAAGAAAATGTTTAAAAATTAAGTCACTTATCAATAACTGACTATCAGTAAGATTGATGCCTCTGTAAGACAAAGTATTTTTCTCTCCAATCTTATCACACATAACAATTTAGCAGGATATCCTAAGGAACAATGTTGTTTAAAAAAATAATGGGCCTCTACTTTTAAAATGTTTTCTTTCCTGTTAATAAAATCTAACTCAGTTGTTATTTTCATAACTAATCCCTTTGGGTTTGGATTATATATTCTCTTTCAAGTTAATGTGTGTCTGTGTGTTTTGGTCTCTAATGTCTTTTATTATATCACAAATTCCAAATAGAAAAACACTCAATCACTTCTAGAAAAGCACACATTACAAAGAGATTCACAATTATTCATTTCGAGTTGAAGTATACAGTATTATTAAAATGGAAAATATCTCCATGTTTAATGTTTAAAACAGATCTGGGAGTTTCCTTGAAAACTCTCTATTTCTATACTGGCAAAGTGAAGAAGATTTTAGCAAAATACTAGAGAATAAAATAGTTTCCATACAGAAGTAAACAATTACTTATAAAAATATAAAATTTTATTATATTAATAAATGTCCATCACAAATATACAGAAAGATACATTTATAAGTGTTTTGGCAAACTTACTAGACATATTAAATTGGAGTAGAAGTATAAATAATCTATAGATTAAGGGTTGGTGCCTAAAAAATTTTGAAAATTATTTCCAGACATAAAACACAGTTGTTTAAACTGAGCTCAATTGTAACCTCAGTACTGATTCATTCTCACTCTAGGCACTCTCGGCTTAATTTAGCAGTAGATACTAATAATAAATTTTACAGAAAGAAAAAATTACAGATATTGA
Source organism: Homo sapiens (assembly GCF_000001405.40). Classification (NCBI taxonomy): domain Eukaryota; kingdom Metazoa; phylum Chordata; class Mammalia; order Primates; family Hominidae; genus Homo; species Homo sapiens. The sequence goes on from NC_000013.11 coordinate 71,495,670, forward strand.
TGAGGGTGTAAAGGAAAGGGAATATTTATACATTATGGTGAGAATGTAAATTAGTACAACCTCTATGGAAAACAGTATGCAGATTTCTCAAAGAACTAAAAAGAAAACTACTATTCGACCCAGCAATACCACTACTGGATACCAGCCCATAAGGAAAGAAATCGTTATATCAAAAAGATACTTGCACTTGTATGTTTATTACAGCACTATTCACAGTGGCAAAAATATAAAATCAACCTAAGTGTCCATCAGGGGATGACTGGATTAAAAAATGTGATACAGGCCGGGCACAGTGGCTTACGCCTGAAATCCCAGCACTTTGGGAGTCCCAGGCAGGTGGATCACTTGAGGCCAGGAGTTAGAGACCAGCCTGACCAACATGGAGAAGCCCCATCTCTACTAAAAGTACAAAAATTAGTTTGGTGTGGTAGCATGAATCTGTAATCCCAGCTATTTGGAGGGCTGAGGCACAGCACAAGATTGGCTTGAACCTAGGGGGCAGAGGTTGCGGTGAGCGGAGATGGCACCACTGCACTCCAGCCTGAGCGACACAGCAAGACTTTGTCTCCCAAAAAACAAAAAAATTGCTATGTATATATATATATATATATATATATATATATATATATATATATATACACACACAAAAAGATATGCAACATATATATATATTGTGTATGTGTATATATATAGACAAAATGGAATACTATTCAGCCATAAATAAGAATGAAATTATGTCTTTTGCAGCAATATGACTGGATCTGGAGGCCATTATCTTAAAACAAGTCAGTTATAGAAAGATGAATACTTCATGTTCTCATTTATAAGTGGGAGCTAAGTAATGTGTACAAGGACATAGAGTGTAGACTGATAGACAATTGAGACTCAGAAGGGTGTGGGAATGGGGGAGGTTCATGATGAGAAATTATTTAACGAGTACAATGTAGGCTTTTCAGGTAATGGATATCCAAAACCCTGACTTCACCACTATGCAGTCTATCCATATAATAAAATTACACTTGTACCACAAGAATATATACAGATAAAAAAAGGAGAAAAAATTATCAGGTAAATGTTTTTTCTTTCTACCTCCATCTTCTCAGAAAATAAGGAATTCTGAAATATCACATTAAAATTTATCAAAATGACTTTTATATATCTATGCTGATGCATATAAAATATCTAGAGGTATTTGGGAATAAAACTTATTTCCTATATTTTACTTAATGCCCATTCTTCAAATTCTGGATTTAAAGTTACTCCAGAAATTTTTATAAAATTGACACCAAAATGCAAGACATGATACAGCTATGGTAAAATGAAAAGCAAACCAGGCTTGATTAAGAAAGTATGAATTCAAGTCCTGGCTCTACCAAGTACAAGCAAATTTTAGAGCTAAGAACCTGTCTCTTATTTGAGACTCATTTCATTTATTTATTAAAACGATGATTACCAATTCAAAGGATTATAGTTTAAATCCAATTAGATTATGCATGTGAAAGTGCTTTGTAAAATATAAAATACTATATTAATATAAAGTATGAATGGATGAATAATTAACAAATAATCCAATCAATTATACATTTTATAAATTTCATTTTGGAAACTTGGCTTCAATGTGCCACGGAGGAAATTCTGTTCTTGTACCATAAGCCTGTGGTTTCTTCCTTTTTTTTTTTGAGACTGAGTTTCGCTCTTATTGCCCAGACTGGAGTACAATGGCTCAATCTCGGCTCACGGCAACCTCTGCATCCTGGGTTCAGGTGGTTCTCCTGCCTCAGCCTCCCGAGTAGCTGGGGTTACAGATATGGGCCACCGTACCGGGCTAATTTTGTATTTGTTGGTAGAGACGGGGTTTCTCCATGTTGGTCATGCTGGTCTCGAACTCCCCACCTTGGGTGATCCGCCTGCCTCGGCCTCCCAAAGTGCTGGGATTACAGGCGTGAGCCACTGCGCCCCTGCTCTAAGTCTGTAGTTTCTATATTATGTCTCTCTGATAAGGCTTTGATGAAGATGTATAATGTTGATGAAAGAATTATTACTGTATACATCAGTTTCCTTATATGGACTAACCCTGAGTTAGTTTGGTTAAAATTGACTTTGATAGAAATAATTTGGGAAAGGGCAAAGAATATGAACTGGTTTATCAATTTCTCTTCAGGTGGCAGGACCTAGAGGAAATATGTGTTGACACACACACACACACACACACACACACACACACACACACACAGATACACAGACACACACACACATACACACACAGTACAGGTTTTGCAGAAATAGACTGTGAATAACATAAAACCACTTAAGAGGCTTCTTGGATATACTTCAAGCAGCATTAGAACTCTGAATTTTGAGTTTGAGTGAATAAAAGAAAAAAAAATATATGGGAATGAAATCATTGTGTTTGGCAGAATGTTGGAGGTTTGCTACAAAAATACACCAAACTCACAGTGTTGCCTAATTTAATGCATATGTATTCCACGCTTATTATATGCAACTATCACCTATATCAGTGAGTCTTAACTTTTGAATAGTTCTCTTTTGAGATGCTTATGAAAGTTGGGGACCACTCTTTTGAGGAGGAAATCGATCATCTAGTCGCAGCTACCTAACATATAGTAAGTACTTATTAATATTTACTGAAAGAATATGTGAATGAGATAAGGCAAAGCAAAAGCTGGAGGAATACAGACTGCAAAAATGAGAAGGATATAGTCTTTGCCTGTCCCAGGGTTATACCACATCCATGATAGTAAAACTAAAAATACCTTCTATTGGAAAACCACTCTATTGATTACGAGGCAATTTCACAGACATTATCTTGAGTTAAGAGGAAGCTCTAGGAATAAAATTTTTTAAATGCATGCATTTATAATCTCAATAAGGTTATATGCCAAAAGAGTGATTCAAATGGCACCTGGTGCTTATTTAGAAAAAAGAAGAGATTCTGTTTAGATGATGTGAGTTGAAAGGGGAAAGAAGAAAAAAAAAAAAAACCACCATGGCAAGAAACGGGCACTGAATTTTGGGGAAGACTTAACTAGAGGGAGGTCAAGAGGTTGTATGAGGAAACCATGCAAGGATAACAGCTCAAGAAAATCAGGAACCCCAATTCCCTGAAGAAACTGTATTTTTAGGGGGAAATCATATTTTCTATTATTATGCTCAAAAAAGAATCTTTAGTTTCTGGCTATTCTGTATCTGTATTTCAAAAATTTCTGTATTCAGAAATTCTAAGATCAAGCTATCTATTAATATTTCCAATCTTGGCCTTGACAGCAAATCCATCATTATCTTAGCAAACTCATCTGAGGAGACAAAACTTGAGAACTCGGGTATCTGTGTACAGAGGTTTTTGTTCCTTTGACAATTTGAAATTTCTTGGAAAAAAATGGAATGGCACCAAGCATTAAACACACACACATGCGAGCACGCGCACACACACACACACACACACGCAGACACACACACACACACACACACTGATTTAACTTTCAAATATTTTGGGTTGCATTCACATCTGCTTGACATAAGTCATCAGTGTTTATGCAAGAACTGGCATAGCTTAGGCTGAAAAGATTCACTTAATTGACCTTTCTGTCATTTCCATGACCCAGTAGGTTTAACCTCACTGCTGATACTGCAGGTGAATATGGGAAAGCATTTATTGAAAGCTGCAAAACAGACACGGTTATATTTCCTAGGTTGATGTTTTGCATATCTGCACAGTAGGGCCATTAAGTGTTCTAAGAGCACAACGGAAACAATCATAACATTTGTTTTTAGATGACTGACTCAGAACATGTACACCAGGCTTTATATAGAAACTGTTTTTGTTTTATTAAGGGACTGTTTGCCTGTTAGTGATAACATCATTAAAAATAAATGAAAGGGGGCTGGTAAAATGCTTCCCAAAAGCAGAAACCTAATTAAAGGTGATATGCCTGCTATGAGGCTTTTTTTTCAGAACTCAGAAATAGAACAAGGTTAGTTCTTTCTCGTTTTATAAGGCCCAAAGAAGACCTCACAGTAAAACATCACTTCTGATCTAATTTTCTATTTCTGTGTACTTTAATAATCTACTTTAAAGTCTGCGCTTGCCCATAGAAAGTGAACCAGTTTTGTGCCTACAGATAGATTCTTCCTCATGTCATACCGCATGAAAAGAAAATCTGATGGTTCAGCTCAAACAAAAAATGCACTCCCTTTTAAAACAAATTGTAGAGGTCGTAAGATGTTCAGTAATAGTAATAGTAGATGCATAGTGCACCCATAAACATTCCACAGCTCTAAATGACCACTTTTGAAAGTCTGAGTTAATGATTAAAAAAAATTTCCAAATCAAGGTTTATAATTTCAGAAAGAAAAAAAAAAGTAGACCCTTTTATTTTAAGGGGTGGAGTTACTCTAATTTCATGGATGGTGGAAAAAGCAGGAAACTGCATTCCCTTGATAACTCTGCCCTTATTGTGCTGTGACCTTGGCCAATTTACTTAAATTTACATCTGCCAAAAATGAGTTTCTGAAATGTGCTTTGAGAATTTTCGGGGGGAGGGAGGAAGAGTTGTCTCATAAATCCAAGGCCTTTTCAAAGTTAATATGACTTTAGAAGTAAAGCAAAAATGAAGAGAAATGCTAGGCACCATCACAGGGTGCCATAGTTTGATACCCTGTTCTCTTCTTATCAGCTCTGCATAGCTCTAATTCATTTATGAGTCTCCAAGCCGAAAATGAGTGTCATTGCTATGTGAATAAAACAGAACGATTCTCAAATAATACCCCTGAAATACACACTAGCTCTGGTGTTGAGGACTGATATTCAAAGTCTAATTTGCACGTAACTTTTAGACTAAAATTATCATGGAATTATAAAAAATGTAAGAGGCCTTTGGAAATCACCTCATCTACATTCTTCATTTTTCAGATGAAACAAGCCCAATAACTGATTGACCCAAAGTTTTTCAAACCCAAGTCTGAAGATTCTCATTTCTTTTCTCATTAAAAGATAAAGTGTCAATTTAGACGAAATACATGGAAAGCACAATATTTTGAATGATTCCATGAATATGGCCACCCACAAATATACATATATAGACTGAACTCTGGCCTTTTTTTTTCTCTCACTCAAACTTCTATCTAAGAGGCCTAGGGAGTCATGCCCTACAAATCATAGAATCTACTTAAAAAGTGGTTTTTTTTTAAATTAAGCCTGAATATTGTGGCTCAGTTTCCAATCTGACTCTGTTAGAGCATCATAGGACCACAGACCCCTTTATCTTAACTTAAGCATTCATTTCTACGAACTTCAAGTCTTTAAACAATAGCTTAACTCTCTCAACTGAAATTGTCAATCAAAGAGTCTCTAAAATCCACCTATGACTGTAAAAGCCCCTGGTTCGAGATGTCCTGCCTTTTCAGATCAAACCAATGTATATCTCTCATGTATTGATTTATGATTTTCCCGGCAATTCCCGTTTCCCTGAAATGTATAAAATTAAACTATAACTCGATCTCTTCGGGCGCACTTTCCCAGGACCTCCTGAGACTGTGTAACACGAGGCTGCAGACACTCACATTGGCTCAGAATAAACCTCTTTAAGTATGTTAGCAGTGCTTGGTTTTTCAGTCATCACATATACGCATATATGAAAACAGGTGAAATGTGAAGCCTAATGGGATATTTAGTAAATGTTAAGAGATTTTAGGAGTGATAAAGATTATGTGTTTGTGATTTAAGAAAAGATTTACCCATCTTTAGAAAATATACACTGAACGTAAAGTAGAACAAAAAAGAAAAACATTAAAAATATGTACAGATTACAGAGCATATGTTTGAGATTTGCTTCAAAAATCTCTGGAAGAAGGGAAGAAATTGGGTGGAAGTATGAGACAAGATTTGCCTTGAGATGACCATTGTTAAAACAAAATGATGGGTAGGCATATGGGAATTCAGTACTCTTCTAATTTTATGTATATTTGAAATTTTCAATAATAAAAAGTTAATAGAAAAGGAATACTACTCAGTAAAGATTCTATTAACTTATAACTTATTCTTTCTTCAGAGTCAGAGGCATTGCTATGATGATGTTCATCATTACCATAAATAACTAGCACACAGAGAGTGCTTCCTATGTGTGCAAAGCAATGTTTTAAATGCTTTGCATGCACTGGCTCATTTAATCCTTACAACAATTCTGTTACTGTTTTACTAGTGTTATACTTATTTTACACATTAATATGTAGAGGTAAAAGAAGTTAATTAACTTGCCAATGTAACTCAACTAGGAAAGACAGCAGCCTGAATTTGAGCCCAAATAACCTTATTTCACAGCCCATGTTGTTTAAACACCCAAGGAGTAACACACAAATTTTTTAAGGGCATTCAAAAATACATTAATATGTGCATTCAAGTTTGTGCCATAAATATATATTCAAAAAATATAATTGTATCTTGGAATAGAAGGCAAATGTAGAGATTTTCCATTTCACTCCTCCGCCTTAGGACTTGACTTATTCCCTAAAACCAAGCCTATGTTCACATCAACCAGCCTAGATTCCATCAAATTGACTACTACTGATACACTTATGATTATTTGTGATTATCTGTGATTAATTGCTAAGATACCTATCCCAGAAATGAAACTCCAGAATCTTCCCAGATGAGACTAGAAAATTCTAACCATGAGTATAGTGGACATTTAATATCAAGTTTAACTTTAGGTAGCTTATGCAGAATATCTCTTTGGAAATTTCTCCACCCTACACCTTATCAAATGCTAACCATACCAACAAGGTCTATACTTCCCTTGTCGGAGCTGTTTAACCATGAAAGTACTACTTTTAAATTGATGCATGCATTCTATGGGGTAAAAACACAAAGTCTACTTAAGGATTTTTAAAGCAAAACAATTATTGTCCAAGAGGTTCATTTCAGAAGGAGCAAGTCTCATGCTTTACCCATTTATCAGATGCAATTAAACCTTGGATAATGCAACAAATTATCTTCTGCATTTGTCCCAATTTAGCTTCTCCTGAATTCCTTCATCCTGTAATCCTAGTCATGAATCTGCCTCATTTGTCACCATAAGAACCTTGTGTAGGTTTCCAAATCACCGTCTTTCAGTATTGGACACTATTCCTTCCCTGACTGCGTCAATGTGTTCCATGCTAGCACTGGGACTTCCCATTGCACTTGGTGACTACTTTGCTCTGATAAGCTGGCATGCAACATGCTGTTGGAATGCTACCCTAAGCTAGGCATCAGTTTGCTGGTCTAGAAAAATTAATTTATGTAAGTCTGATAATTTACTAAGTACAATGACTTCGCTTAAGCTACAGGTATGTTTTAATGGGTCCCTTCTTTCCCATCTTGCCTTGCCACCATCTCTTGGGACAGGCAGCACCGTATGTAAATGACAAAGGTTTCTTCAAGTCATACCTAGAACCACTTCATTTTTTCCTTCCCACATACAACAACTGATTACAAGTATATATTACCAGGATCATTTCACATGATCAAATTCATCAAAAATTATTATCAAATTTCTTTACAGGTTTATTTCTGTCTGTTTGTTTAACATGAAAAACTGTGAGGGAAGGAACTCAGTCCATTTATTCACCTGTGCAGCCTCAATGCCTGGCACATAACATATTTTTATATATGACTTGTTGAATATCTGATATAATTTATTTTCAAAACTAGTTAATTTATTAAACCTTTTATTCTCATAGCAACATAGATAAATTTTAGTTGTAGTTACTTACTTTAAGTTAGATGAGCCTGAATGAATGAGAAGGGATATAATAAAAACTGCTTTTGTTTGAGTTGCCTTTTTAGAAATGTGAATTTATCATATAAAAATAACTTAGGAGATTTAAATTCTAAATTTTAAAATCCCAATATTTACTAAATAATAAACTACATTTGTGGCTGCCCTGTGCAGCAAAAGAGACTAAGTAAATGCATATAACATTATAGTAAGATTTGGTTCATCTACTTAAAAATACTATTGGCTGTTTTGGGCAATCCCAGGTTTGCCACGGCAGAGTGTCCAAGCAAATGTTCATAAGCTTCTTGTCAGGAATATTACGGAAACTATTTCTTAGAAATTGACAGAAGGTTAAATTAAGTGACCTTTATATCCCTTTTACCTATTGAGATTTTACGACTTTTTCCTTTAAAACTAACTGTTTTATAACATAGCCATATAAAAATGCAAAGGAGAGCACTAATTTTTAGGATTTAGGGAAATATAAAAAGTTAAGAGTGTATGTTTATGTCATTGTCAGCATTCTTCCCTTGGCGAGAAGGGGATTCTTTAACAGCACAGCTGCTATTTTGCAACTCTCAGAGCATAAAAACATAATGTAAATTCCTGGACCTCTACTATATATAAGTTAAAAATAATAATTTCAATTTATAACCACTCATTCTTTGTAGCACAGAAAAGAGATGACGTTGTTAGATTTATAAAATTGTACTTACTAGCTTTTCAATGTGCTCTATTTAAGAAATACACATCTGTTGGCTCAAAAAGTCAACAATTAACACGAGAAATCTTGGTTGTTTTACTTTAATACCTATGTTTAAATTTAATTTGAAAAATTATTAGAAATTTTAAAGTTACTTTAAAATTTCAAATTAAAAAAGAAACATTGTGTTATCTGCATTCATTAAAGTATTTCCTGTTATCTTCTGCTTTGTATTCTATATGTGTAATAGTATGAATGCCTCATATTTATTTTGTGGAATTTGTTTAATTGATGAAGAATTTATGCATTCAAGGTAAAAGACATAGCTCAGATCAAGAATTGAACCTGGGAAGATAACACGTTAGGAGGAACTGAGGAAAGGCAGCGTGGATGAGATCGCTAAGGGGAGAGAGGTTAGAATGGAATTTGAGATGTAATAAGGCCAGATTTGAGTGAAGTCTTGCAGACCTGATCATCAAGTTGTAGCTCAGAATGTTCAGGAGAAGGTTGGTCATGATCTTACAGAAATGGCAACTCTTCCTAATCATGGATGTATCATGAGAATATAGAACCATTTCATTCTTATGTAACCAGTGACTTTTTATTTCGATGGCATGTTCAATGTATATCAAGCTACCATTATTACTACTTGATATTTTTCTATATATTTCCTTATTGTTTGTCTTCTTCAATTACAATACAAATTCCTTAAGAACAAGATGTCTCTCTGTACTGTGAGCTGTTGTGTCTCCTATACCTTGAATGGTGCCTGGCTTTTACATGTAGGATGAATCAATACATTATTTAAAAATATTTCACAATGAAATCAATTAATCTCTTCGACTATTTGTGTACACTTAACTCAGTTTTAACTTACTGAGAAATCGCAAATTTAGAAACACATATATTTGTTAATTAGATATCTCCTTCCTTCCTTCCTTCCTTCTTTCTTTCTTTCTGGAGTCTTACTCTGTCGCCAGGCTGGAGTGCAGTGGCAAGATCTCGGTTCACTGCAACGTCCGGCTCCGAAGTTCAGGTGATTCCTCAGCCTCAGTGTCCCAAGTAGCTGGAATTACAGGTGTGTGCCACCACGCCCGGCTACTTTTTTGTATTTTAGTAGAGACAGGGTTTCCTCATGTCGTCCAGGATGGTCTCAATCTCCTGGCCTCATGATCCACCCACCTCGGCCTCCCAAAGTACTGGGATTACAGGCGTAAGCCACTGCGCCCAGCCTAAAAATTTTCTTAATAGTATATTTAGAAGGCTTGAGATACATTATATTACTATAGATAAAATAACCATATAAGTCTACTGTTGAAGCAATTTCAAAGTAAAGCAGATTCTGTGTGTGTGTGTGTTTGTGTGTGTATACCTAAATGATTGCACACCACACATACACTTAGTTACATAAGTACATAGGTACATATAGGTATATCATATGTAGAACTCTTCCATATTTAGTAAATCCAATAACTGTTCTGTTCTGTTTCAATTATTAATTTACCTTAAATATCACCAGAAGCTTTAGGCAAATAAATAAGTTTATTTTGTTAGATAATAAGTTATCTTTCATTACTTATTCCTTCTCATATACTAAGATTTCATAAGAATGAAAAAACCAGGTAGAAACTGAAAGTTTTACTATTACTTTCTATATTCTAGTACTTTCCACTTTAGCCTATATACCTAAGATTAACAAATTATAAGTGGCATACAGACTGAAAGGCAATTTCCATAAATGACTTAATATTGACTAAAAATTTAAAAATAATTAAAATATTCAACTTGATTAGAAAGCATTTCACATTTGAATAAGCAAACAAAACATGCAGATTTTGTTCCTTCATCCTCTTGATATAGATTAAAAACTATACTGTTATTTAATGTTATTCTACATTAGAAAAATTTAAATAAATACAACTAAAATGAAATAAATAAAAATATTACATTTACATGCATTTTCAAAACTCACATAAAGCTCTTAAGATTCTTTTTTTTTTTATTATACTTTAAGTTTTAGGGTACATGTGCACATTGTGCAGGTTAGTTACATATGTATACATGTGCCATGCTGGTGTGCTGAACCCACTAACTCGTCATCTAGCATTAGGTATATCTCCCGGTGCTATCCCTCCCCCCTCCCCCCGCCCCACAACAGTCCCCAGAGTGTGATATTCCCCTTCCTGTGTCCATGTGATCTCATTGTTCAATTCCCACCTATGAGTGAGAATATGCGGTGTTTGGTTTTTTGTTCTTGCGATAGTTTACTGAGAATGATGATTTCCAATTTCATCCATGTCCCTACAAAGGACATGAACTCATCATTTTTTATGGCTGCATAGTATTCCATGGTATATATGTGCCACACTTTCTTAATCCAGTCTATCATTGTTGGACATTTGGGTTGGTTCCAAGTTCATATGGAACCAAAAAAGAGCCCGCATCGCCAAGTCAATCCTAAGCCAAAAGAACAAAGCTGGAGGCATCACACTACCTGACTTCAAACTATACTACAAGGCTACAGTAACCAAAGCAGCATGGTACTGGTACCAAAACAGAGATATTGATCAATGGAACAGAACAGAGCCCTCAGAAATAATGCCACATATCTACAACTATCTGATCTTTGATAAACCTGAGAAAAACAAGCAATGGGGAAAGGATTCCCTATTTAATAAATGGTGCTGGGAAAACTGGCTAGCCATATGTAGAAAGCTGAAACTGGATCCCTTCCTTACACCTTATACAAAAATGAATTCAAGATGGATTAAAGACTTAAACGTTAGACCTAAAACCATAAAAACCCTAGAAGAAAACCTAGGCATTACCATTCAGGACATAGGCATGGGCAAGGACTTCATGTCTAAAACACCAAAAGCAATGGCAACAAAAGACAAAATTGACAAATGGGATCTAATTAAACTAAAGAGCTTCTGCACAGCAAAAGAAACTACCATCAGAGTGAACAGGCAACCTACAAAATGGGAGAAAATTTTTGCAACCTACTCATCTTAAGATTCTTATACATCCCCGATCTATCCATGCAGTAGTGACAGGAGATCATTCATATTAGTGTTTCTTCCTTTAAGCTGGGAATCCTCATAAATATAGTATTCTCTGTTGTTTATCTTATAATGTATTCTAAAATCTATTCCCCAACTTTGTTTTTTAGCATAGAAATTCTCCACAGAGAATTTTAATATAGTGCCTCCTATAACAATAACTTCAAAAATCTCATGATACTTTTAAGAAAGTTGTTATTTCCTTCACTAACAAAACTATTTTTACAATTGTTAAATTTAATCATAAATTTAATCAGGAACTTTTTATGAAATGCAATTAACCTTGAAATATGAATACATTTTATTTTGCCAATTAGTTCAGCTGGAAAATTAGACAAATTTGAAACTAGTCACTCTAGAAATATTTATGGATGAATGCCAAATGCAACACTGTATAGAAAATACTCTAACAAAGATAAGACAGAGGAACTGTCACGGCAAGTGAGGACATCTAGTCCATCCTTGGACTGACTACCTGGAAGAGAACAATTATAATTCCAGAATGAAAGATAATCAGGACACAATTCTTACAGCATGGCTAAGGTTTTAATATATGGAGATAATACATAACTTTTGGAAATGTATATAATTTATTATCTCAACCTATTATCAAATTTCTAAACTGAACCTCCACTTTAGGCTTAGTCCTGCCAATGTTAATATATTTTCTAATTGTCTATCATCTATTTATTGCTAACAATTAAACATAAAAATTCTATAAATGTTTACTGGAATCTGTTCATCCTATTATTTCCTCATTTCTCTGTTGGGCAAAGAAAATGAGCCTAGATTAAAAGAATGCTTTTCTGATGAGCCCATACAAATCCTAGTCATTGCACTCATGTTTTCTAAGAAATTATTTTAAGGAATGATTTTAGAATCTTCTTCAGGGTCATTATGGAGGCACTTCTTTCACTGCAAGTGAACTGTGCCTCTGTCCAGTTAAAAAAAATCATAGCTGCATATTAGTACGTTTACTTACTGATCACTTCTTTTGTGGGTCAGCATATTTGACTGTAAATTTAGTCTAAATATCTTGTGATATAATTCACGTGGCCTGAATTCATTGTGAATTGCCAAGTATTTTCGTCCTGTTTCTTCATCTGACTTGGGCTTCTGTTCCCTCTCATGATGATTACTCTCACAATTTTTATTTTCTCTTAGAAAGATAATGAAAACAAAAGAATAACTTGTACTTGTTAGTATCATTTTATATGCATGGAAGACAGATCTAAACAGTGAATGTGGTAAAAATTACTTTTTTTTTTTTGTAGATAGATAGGATCTTGCTCTGTCACCCAGTCTAGAGTGCAGTAGCATGATTATAGCTCACTGCAGCCTCAACTTCCTAGGCTCAAGCAGTCCTCCCACCTCAGCCTCCTAAGGAGCTGGGACTACAGGCATACACCAACTTGGGTAACTTTTTTTTTTAGTTTTTGTAGAGACAAGGTCTCACTATGTTGCCCAAGCTGATCTCGAACTCCTGGGCTCACGCCATCCTCCTGCCTCAGCCTCCCAATAGTGTTGGAATTACAGGCAGGAGCCACTGCACCTGGCCAAATTAATATTGTTAACTAATTACATGGCTGTAGTTTGAGTTTATCTACATGTCCTCACCCTAAGCATATTAAAAATAATATAAAAAACTTAGTTTCCCCAAATGCATTTCACTATTATCATCTCTATTCCTCGCAGTGATACCACCATCTTTGAAATTATTCTAAGAATAGCTTTGATTTGATGTATTTAACTTTTCTTCTCACATATACACTCACCAAATTATCCCTTCAAAATATTCTTAACATTTCTGTGTTTCTCTTCAACTGTCACCCTACACCAGGGTGTATAAATGTACTATTAGTATATTTAACCTTAACAGGTGCATTGCTTTTGACTGATCTTTCTACTACCACACCTCACTCCACTCATTAATAAAATATATGATTTAATTGCCTGCTCTCTATTCATTATAAACTGAATTCTCAAACTTTCAGCATGATTTTGAAAGAAATCCAGAATCTGATACAACCTCTGTCTCTACTAATCTTATCAACTGAGTCCAATAATGAAATGTGCTAGGTACAGTGAAACTCAAAAACATTCTTTCATGAAACAGATCAGAAACTGGAAAGGATGTGAATTAAAACCAACTCATAACAATATGAAGAATATATAAAATATAACTAGTAGAAAAAATTAGGAATGAGACTAATAGATGAAAGGTGAATACAACTAGTGTGAGAAATTAAGAGTACAAATAATATGTCTAAGTACAAGGTTATCAGGGCTTAAATTGTAATGAAGGAGTCAAAGAGGTGGTAAAAATATAAAGAAGAAATACAATCCTAAACACGAAGTTTAAAATTCTGTAGGAAACAGTCGGCTTATATTTTTACTAAGTTTTTCAATATGGGTCCTAGAGCTGGTTTTTCCAAATATTAACAATGATATTCAGTAAGTCCTTCTCTTCTCTGCCTCAAATGTACTGCCTCAAATTTCTCCTGCAATTGTACCTTTCTTTTACAGACTCTTCTGCTCTTAACTAAATAGTTCTAATTGCATATAGCCAGGCTATATTATATCCCATCTAATGGAAAAAAGAAAACATCCCTGGATACCATCGTTCCTTCTAATTATTGTTCCAGTTTTTCAGTTTCTTTTTCAAGAGTTAACTATACTCTGTTATCTTATCTTTTCCTCACAATTTAATCTTGAGCTCATTCTAGTCAACTTTTTATTCCCAGTTCTCTAGTATAACTACTTTTATCAAAGTTAACAGTGATGTCCATTATACCAAATCCAATGGTCAATTATCAGACCTCCCTCTACTTGACTTATTAGAGGCCCTTGACACATTGAACATTTCTTCATTCTTGACACCCTTTCTTAACTTGGCTTCCAGGACACTATTCTTTCTTCTTCTCCCAAAACCTCAATAGCAGCTTCTTCTTAGTCTCTTTAACGCTTTTCATTCTTATCTAGTCCTTTTAAGCTTAAGACATAACAGGTGCCTTCTGACCTTTTCTCTTTGCTATACGAATCCTCTAATGATCTCATTCAGACACAAGCCTTTAAATACCATCTATATGCTGATGCCTCCAAAATTTATTTGCGTTAGCTCAGACCTTTTGCCTGAAGTGCCCTCATCTCTGGACTCACATCTCTACGGGGATATCTAATAGATATCCTAAAAAAAATGTTCAAAAAATGAACACTTCATTATCCAATCCCACACCTCCTCCTATCATTTTGTTAATCTCAGTCCCATTCTATTCCCCTCCTTTCCAGGGTCAAATAACAAGATGAATCGTTAGTGTGACATTCTAGTTCATAGAGTTACAAAGACATAGATTTATCCAAATTTGTGTGCAACTATGAGAAACATTGAACATATTTTAGGTTAAATTTAAATAAGCAATATCATGCCATTAATATATTTTTTCAACTTTCATTATGTTTTTGAGACTCAAAACTGTGTTTTAAGGCTTGATTCATGTAAATCTATTTATTCATTTGAAGTGCTGAATGGTATTCCATTACACAGCAATGTTTTATCTCATTTATGCCTTCCTCTATTGCAACGTTCAGTTTGTTTCAAAATGTTTGCTATTATTAAATGTTGCAGTAAAATACTTTTATCTCTATACTAGATCTTTGAACACATTATTCTATGTAACTCTCACAAAAATGTTGCATAGAATTATTATCTCCTTTTCATCATAAAAAAACCTGAACCTTAAAGAGATTGAGTAATTTTCCTAATATTACACAGGAACAGAGCCAGAATTTGAAATAATGTTTATACAAATTCATTACTATGTTTTTGTTTTTGCTTTTTTCTACAGCACTACGTTATGTGCTTGTAAAAGCCTATGGAATTCTTGTAGGAGCAATGCTAACAGTAACAAGGACTAACAAGGGAGGTCCATTACACATCCCAATCCATATTTTACAGAGTAGACACATGACACGCATGTGAGTATGGAAGAAAGATGAGCATGGTGGTGGCAGCCAGTTTAGAAAACTACTATTTATAACCTTGTTATTGACTGGTTAGGCACTCTTGTTCCAAAGAGATTGAGAAAAAAATTTGTGGGAATTTGTGAGGAAACTGAAATGAGGAAGAAGTACAAGTGAAATAGAAAAATCCTCATTTATGTGCTGAGAGCCAAAAAAAATGTAGTGATATTAAACAAACGAGGAAATTAGAAAGGAAACCCTCTAGAATGGAGCCACAATACAGAGTGGAGGAAAATATGAGTGCTTGATAATGGTCCCCTGGAAATAAAGATTTGTTTTATTTACTAGAAACCCTGAGCCCAAAATTCTTACTTGTTTTCTAATTAAGGGAAAGATGGAAATATAAACAAAACAAAACATAAAGTAAAAAGAGAAAAACTCAATTCAAGAGCATTGAATGGCTATCACAGCTGTCTACATTTATTCCTTTTAAAAAAATAAAATTTAAAAAATGGAAAAAGGAAAGGAACAAACCTTACTAGCCTCTTAGGTATGGAACTAAAATTATAATGATTACCTTTCTTTTCCTTGCCTTTATACATATGCCACTTAGCCTTTAACTAGATTTCCAACTGCCAGCAACTATTGAAACCAATCTTTTGTTTCAGCAGAAGGAGTAATACAAGGCATATTAAGCTAGGAGATTTAACAAACAGAAACTCAGCATCAATTTGTCTTTACTGATCTACTCTGGCCTTGGGTCCTGCTTCTAGTAATTATATCCCTGCCTTGCTTCCCTACAGGATTTATTCCTAAAACTGTAACTGAGGTCCATTCTATACCAGAAAGTGTGTCTTGGTTCCATGCTCAAAACGCTTCATTTCCCTAGGTCTATACTTCTTATGTTACCAATTTCAGCATTTCTTTTTTGGAAATTCAACCCAGAACCCAACTTTCCATGGTCAAGCATCCCCTAATGCATTCAAATACCAATTTTTTTTGAAACTTTACTTTTGCCTTCTATTTCTAGGCCTTCATTTGTTATCTATTTCCTGCTATAACCCATTTTCCTGGCACCCACCTGTTGGCATTCTGCATACTGCCTAGCCTTCTCTGCATTATGTTCCTCTGCCCTACACATTCTTTTAATTTAAAGTACTATAAATTTCCCTTTGGTTTACCGCACGGATTAACAAGTACCATTATATGAAAGGAGAAAAAGTAAGGGAACAGAGGGAGACGCTCTAATGTCCTTCTGTAGAGATAACAGGAAAACACAAAAGGAAAGCAAAATACTAAAACAGAGGAGAAAGTAAAATGTCAACTCTGAAGACTGAGTAAAGACCAAATTCTTAATAAAGAATTTGGCGTGAACACAAATATTTGGTCCAGTAGACCAATAAACTCCAAAAATTTGGATAATTTTGGCCTTTAATAAACTTTTCTTGGATCTCAAAGTGTTCAATATAGTGTTGTCAGATCCTGAACATATCAAACTCCTGTATGAATAAATGTTAATGTATTCATGTGTAAATTGGCTATAAGGAATTGCACAAATAACTTGAAATACAATTTCAAATACATCCATAGTTGCCAAACTGTGTGTGTCTAAATTGATTCTTAAAGGCCTTTTGTTGTTTCACTTATAAAACCCTATTTAAGAAACCCACAAAAGAATCAAGGTATATACCTTGGAAGAAAATCTAGAAGAATAATCTTTTTTTAAAGATTATACATTTTTAAAAAGATTATACATTTAAAAAATAATTGACATAGATGCTTTAGAGACTAAAATAAGATAGTGATTGGTGAAAATGAGTAGGCTTAAATTCCACAAAATATAAGTAATAGACACGGTAAAGAAATATGCACAGAACTTAGAAATATATACAGTAATTGGAACCATCTGCTACCAAATACAGGTACTACAAGACCTGTTTCAAAGACTAAATTAGACTCATTTGTTATTAGCAGTATGTATTTGCATTCCATTAATGTGCTGAAATCCTTTAAAAGTATGCTCTCTTAAGTGGGTTAAACATGCTCATTGTCATCTTGTTTATACTAATAATTGGCTTAGCAAATCTTTTCTTTATATCTAGAACAAAGGTAAACTTTATCAAGCCCAAGCTGAATTATCATAAATTCCATATTAGCAGAAACCAAATTAATGAGGTTTGATTGTACCAAGAAAATTGCTTTTGCCATTTGCTTAATTTCATCTGCTCTATATAATAACAAAAAATTCAAGTGATGAAAAGGGCAGATAATACAGTATTTGCAAAAATATTAGTAGAAGCAAGGCAAACATTCAGAAACTCTAATTTAGTATTATATTTATTTGTTTAGATTCAGTGTGTAATATGATGTTAAGTATATTACTGTACCATGCTATTATGGAACAGATGTTAAATGCAATGTAAAAATGTCAAGGGTAAATGATTGATGATCCTCTTTGCCATTTCAAAGTAAACCATGATTATTTATATGCTCTGGACATTGCTTGAAAGCATCATATTAAATCTAAACAATTGATCCATTTTCAAGGGTTTTGTATAATGTATTATTTATGTGGTTTTTATTCTTTTGTGAACATGCTCCAGTATAAGAAAGTATTTACAGTCTCAAGTGCTCCACCCAGTCCATATGGTAGATTTGTTCTCTGTGTAATACTTACCTTTTCCCTCTAGGCCCATATGGCAAGTCCATAGGCTGCCCAGGCCCCTCTGTCCTCCACAGGGGCCATATGGCAAGTTCAGTGAACACTCATTTACCTTGTATTAATATTTTATCTGCCTCAGACAGAAAAAGAGATCAGATTAAGTAAAGGCAGCTCCTGAAAATGGTTTAGCCATATAATCAATACTGAGTGTCAATGTGGTATGAGATATGAGTTCTGTTATCTCATTTATATTAAAAATAAAAAGTCCATTTGAATAATTTATCAAATAATTTCATAAGCTCCTTTGATCACTTGATATACATTGACAGAATACTGTTTAATTATGCTAATCATCTAGGCAATATTAACACATGATAGTATAAGCTAAGAAGTGGCTTAAACATATAGGCTTTGATATATCCAAATAGATAAGGCTAAATCTAAATTATAATCTATATTACCAAGTAATTGCTCTAAAATTAATTCATTGCTATAACATTTGCAACTATAGGCTAAACTTTTGCTGTCAATGTAAAGTAATTAAGAAACCCTCAGAACTTTATTTACGGTTAGTAAGGATTTATATAAAAAAGAATGAATTAAAATACTATATTTCTGCATCTTCTGCTACTACAAGTTCATGTAAAGTTATCAAATGAATAAACTTTGTAGGGTAATTTATCTTCAAGTTCATTCAGTTGATAAAAAATTACTATTACTATAACTTTGTTAATACCAATTGTGTATATATAGATATATATAGTTATATTTCATAATGAAATTACTATTCCAAGGACTTAAATATTCTTTCATAAATTGCCACAAAAACATGCATATCCTTTATGTTAGACAGAGTTATATGTGTACATTTCTTTCATCTCCTTCAATGAAATGAAACTTGTCTCTAAAAAAATTCTTGCCTATTTATAACTTCAGCTTAGTTATTCAAAATGAACAAAAAGGATAATGCAGCCCACCACACTTAGGGTAATTTATTTTTGTTAGACCTTAGAATTCTTGTCAGCTTATATGTAAAATTTGATGTCAAGAATGTTTAGCAGATGGAAGTTCATGCATTTGATGCTTAGTCCTTTCCTTAATAAATCTACAATGTTTTCTTCTTGGGCATGTCTTTTAATCAGTCAACCTCTTCCCACACAACAATTATAAATGGTTAGGTTTTTTTATTTGATTTTGCACAATGCACATATACTAGTATCACACTTTGCCTACCTTTCCTTTGAGTCACCATATCTTTAATCACACATGTTATGATATTTTTCCAGAATACATTTTCCAGGCCAATGTAAATTTTGAGATCACAACTCATAGGTGATAAGGAAGAGATTCTGAAGTCAATTGAAATTTTTAAAAAAGATAATATTGAAGTAAAAATGTTAATGTGTTTAGGTCTGTCCCCTGTAAGTGCAAGTAAAGTCATAATGAAAATATAAAGACAACATCAGGATCTCTGACAGCTTATTTTAGGCTTGTATATATAGAAACATATTCCAACGAAAATATAAAAGTTTAATTTTATGCACTGAATATTTTCACGGAGTCAGCATTTTGCTATTTTGTGATAACATGTTAAAATTAATGGGATGTCTTAACTATGTTCTTTCTGCATATATACATATAAAAAAGGGAAAGCTCTGAACCTGACTTCATAAATAACATTTGCTATGATTTTGTTAAAGTTTAGATGTGTAGATTTGTATTTGAAATCCTCAGAAGGTTACACGGTGCAACCCTCCAACAATATCTCTGAGTCTTCAGGGACAAAATCCCATTATGTGGAGTTCAGTAAAGGGGGTAAACACCACCATAAAGAAATACAAATTGCACATATTTCCCATTTAGCTAGTGTCACCAAAGTTCACCATTTAGAATTCTAACCAGTTAGGACTTATTCTTGGAGGTCAAGTACCTTGTGAACCTTGTCATCTCACTGATGACATCATATCCTATCCATCAATTCTTTCAGGAGCACACTTGCCATCTGCTCTGCACACGTTGTAATAACTTATTAGACAAATTCACAGGGTAACAATCTGCACAATGACACTGTTATCTTAATGTTGGCACACACTGAGATAACAACCACTATTTCTCTGTCAGAGCACAACGATTCTGCCCTCCAACTTAAGAAAGAAGTTAGGAGGCTATTTAAACTTCACGCTTATGGAAACAATAAGCACGTTGGTAGGAGGATTTTTATCCATTGTAGGATGAGGAAAGAAACCCTCATCACAAGGAGATAGGCAGTTCCATTCCATTCCAGTGGACCAAGAGAGCTCAGATTTTGCTGGCGGTTAATTTCTTTGCTTTTTTCCATGAGGGAATTAGATGTACAGAAGTAGATGCAAATACCTTGTAGAAACTTAAAAATAATAATATTCATAATCACCAAGCCATAAAACCCAGTATTTTCCCATTCCACTTGCTCAAATAGTACAATTAAAATAATTCCCCTATCTTGTCTGGATGACTATAGTATCTTTCCTTTTATTTTTTTTTCTAAAGGCGTCTAATTAGCAGAAAGAGGGTCTCAAACATCTAGCTGACACTGCATACCTGCAACTTTAATAGGTCCTTTGGAAAAATCAAGGACAGTGTCCAAGATCACGTACCTGTATTTTAGCAGCATGTTTAAACTAGCAGCTGTCAAACGCCTTATGACTTAATGAAGTCCAGCCCAACAGTCTCTCTCCCCCACCTTAAAACACATATATATTTTTAGAAAAAGAAGATGGTATTTATTTTTCATTACATGAAATTCATCCTCTGTTCCTTCTTTTGGCTTGTCATTTATTCCAGCTTACACTGTGATCAACATTGTACTAAAATAAAGTCAAGTACAACAGCCGCTCCCTGCCCATCAAAACGCACAGACGTCTGCCAAGCACTTGTAACAGCTGGTGTTACATTAATTAGTTTAAACTATTTATTTCATCCATCTCCAGAGCAGATTGAGCAAAAACATTAGAGATTATTCTAGCATCTGTAAGTGCCCTACAAACATTAACCAAGGAAAGTTAAAATATTCATCAGTCTCATATATACATATATATATGCACACACATATATTTTTATGTTTATATATATATATATGATTTGAGACTTAAGAGCCATTATAAATACATGAGTATACTCTCATATACCTTAGTGAGGGGATGTTTTATTAACTGTCTTTATAAGCGTAAGTTTTCAACTTATATTCATCTTTTGTGTCTACAAAGTTTCTCTTCTTAAAAATTATCACTAGAAAGTGATAATAATTTCTGGTAGCATGCGCCATTAAACAATATATGACAGAGACTGGGTGACTCAATGGATTAGTCACAGATTTTATGGCCACTGTTGGAATCCTGCCCTAACTACAGTGATCAAAACACTGTTATCAAATGGTTGTAAAAATCTCAATTAAAATTACTTATATGGCTTCCACTAGGTT
Source organism: Homo sapiens (assembly GCF_000001405.40). NCBI lineage: Eukaryota > Metazoa > Chordata > Mammalia > Primates > Hominidae > Homo > Homo sapiens. The sequence continues at coordinate 71,517,289 of NC_000013.11, forward strand.
CTTAGCAAACTACATCCCATAACATGAATCTACACATTATTGACAAAATTAACTCAACTGCCACTTTTTGGCTTAAAAGAAAGAAATTAACTATATAACTGAATCTTCAAATAATGGTTGTCAACAGGAGCTTGATTATGAATGTGTGTCCATTAAACACCTGTCAGTCTTCGTAGTTGTGTGTGGACTTTATTTCTTTATTTTTTGTAAAACTTCTAGATTTTTCTAGACTACATTATCTTTCACTACATTTTGGTCTTTAGAAGCCAAATACACATGGATTAAATTAACAATAACAAAGGTGCACATGATAAATACCAAATAAACGTTAAGGAAATAAGTAGTCCAATGTTCACTGGAAAGGAAGTCATAAGAAGTAGAAAACATTAGGGGAAACATACTCTATATCTTGGCCAAAGTCTCCTGCATGAGCACAACCAGAAGTCCTGAAGCATTGCTTCTTATTCCTGGAGTTAAAAGCATTTGCTAGTCTAACCTTTCTCAGGTCAAAAATCAATCTCTATCAAGCAAATTAATTTTACTCCTTGGCACTTTATTTTCCTATACCAAATACAAAAACAAATTAGTCCAACCAAAATTCAGTGTAATATAATTCATTCTATTTTGATTTATCTCAGATGGAAATAACCTCAGTTTTAAATAGTGAGCCTAACTGAAGAAGCTATTATAAAATGTATCCTCATTGTAACACCAACTACTCTACCTCTGTCATATCTAAGGGGATTCAGCTTGGTAACCTACCTTGTTTAATGGACAATTTAATCATTAATATGTAATACTAGTGTGAACTGAAATATGTCCCTTCAAATTGATGTGTTGAAGCTATAATGCCCAATGTGACTATTTTTGGAGATAGAACCTTGAAAGATGTAACTAAGTTTAAATAAGGTCATAAGGGTGAGACCTTTAATCTATTAGGACTGATATCCTTACAAAAAGAGGAAAAGGCATCATGGAGGTACATGCACAGAGGAAAGGCCATATGAGGACACAGTCATCTGGAAAGCCAAGGAGAGAGGCCTCAGCACAAACCAAAACTACCCAAACCTTGATTTTGAACTTCTAGCCTTCAGAACTGTGGAAAAAAAAAAATCTGTTGTTTAACCCATCCAGGCTGTGGCATTTTGTTATGATGACTCCAACAAACTAATATAGTAAAATTCTGTCTCCCAATTCTACAGTGCTACCTAACTTATGATTACTTAAAGTATCATTTCATGTGTCTTTTATAGCAATTCCATTAGGTATGAGATGATTTCCTTTGCTTTCAAAATAAGGGGTCTGGGCCTTCTGATTCAGGTTCCAAGTTACTAACACTCTGTCTTAGTCCATGTGTGTTCAAGCTTTTTGTAAAAATAATCAGTTTTCAATTTTTTTGAACCTTTTAGATACCTGAGAGGTGAGAGGCTGACAGGGGTGACTGAAATAAACTATTTTGGAACAAGAAAGTTTAGAGGAAACAGAAATCATATTTTAGAACAAGGGTAGGCAAACTATGGACCATAGGTCAGATCCAACCTGCTGCCTGATTCTGTACAGCTAGTGAGCAAAGAATGGTTTCTGCATTTTGAAATGTTTGAAAAAAATAAAATAAAAAGAAGAATATTTGGTGACATCTGAAATTTTTATGAAACTCAAATTTCAAGATCCGTAAAGTTTTACTGAAGCAGAGTCCCAATTGTTCATTTATATACCATATACATCTGGTTTCTCACTACAACAGGAGAGTCGAGTAGTTGAGTAGTTGTGTAGACAGAAATTATGTGTCCAATAATCCCAAAATATTTACTATCTCTCCCTTTATAGAAAAAAATTGCTGGATTCTGTTCTATACAATAAGATTAGTAGCACCCTTTATCATAATCATTCTAAATAGTCTAGTTCTGGTTTCTCCAGAGAGCCTATTTAACCCATAACAAATGTATAGTGTATCACTAATGAGCTGATAGCATTATTTCAATTAGCTCTAACCTATATTTATAATGTTATTCTATGACGGGAAATAGTATTTAAACTTTCAAACAAATCACAAGTGAGTTTTTGGCACCTAATCTGTTGGTAAATTTGTGGCTATAGGCTGCAGAGATGATTGATGATGATGAAACATGGTAGGAACAATAGTTACCCATGTCTACATTATTAAATTGTTCTTAGAACTTCTCCATTAGGCAGGTTTCCTACCATTTTTCCAAAATTATTCCCATTTTTCCCATTTATAAAACAAGGATTAATAGAGCTAATAAATGTCACAATTTAATAGCATGCTCATTATGTAATTGGGTTAAAGGTGAAATCTTGTTTCCCTGAATCCAGAGCTCATGTTTTCAACCATTATGCTCTCCTGTTTACAGTAATTTTACTTAGGTAAATATAATTGTTAAGATTTTTAATGTTTTTATTAATAAACTGATCTAAATACAACATAAGTACAAAATGAATTCTAAAGTTTTCTTTAAAGAAACACCAATCACACTGAAAATTAATAAATGAAATAATTCTGAGCACCAAATAACACTTCACCACAAATGTTTCAGATCATTTATTGTTTAGATGTTTGTGTCCAAACCAAAGTAGTATATATATATATATATATATATATCCTAACTAACATAGCACATATATTGTGCAGGCTTAAGCCTTTGAACAGGAATCAAGACACCATTAAACAAGCAAATTTATATGGTCACCACCACATTGCCATTGCTTATATTTTCTAAAATTTCCATATATAAAATAATTTTAGCATCAAATGGAAACAAAACAAGTCCAAAGCCACTGGAGTATAAGGCAGCTTAGAGAGAAGAAGCACTAGTTGAAGTCAAATTTGGGTTTCTTCCATGTTTTGTCATTCTTAAACTCTGAGTCTTGGGCAGTTGTATCCCATTATTGATCTAGATTTCCTCATCATTAAAACAGAGATAAAATGGTACCATCTTCAGAAGATTATGGTAAGAATTAGGTGTAATAATGCCATACTCTTGCCAGAGCATCAAACCTCATGGAAATGAAGAAACAGTTCAATCCACAGGATTTTTGTAAAATGCTATTGCAATTATTTTAGACTATCCAGATTAAATATAGAATAAATTGAAGCTTGTCCCCAAAACTCTAAACAAGAATTAGGGAAGGTGAAATAATGAAGACTTTTGAGAAAAAAATTAAAGGAGATAATCATATGTAAGTTTAGAAGGACAAGTTAATAAGGATCCAGGAATCTAGTATGTAAACCAAAAAATAAAATGCTAGGGACAAATTATTGATTACAATCAAAATAAATAGTTTAAGTATAGACAGTATAGATTGAACTATACACACAAAAAAACTATGTTATACAATTATAGACAATTACATATAAAATCAAGGAATAGTTCATCCAAGGGAGATAGTTAGACTTAAAAGGAAATTGAATTAACAATAGCAGCCTGTGTGCCTGATATCAGGAAGTATATGAAAGTACAAAGATCCTTGCATTGGAGAAAGAAGAAAGGGAAATTTAAAATCAATATTAACATAGTGTTAATTCCAATAATATCATAGTATTATGGTAGTTAGGTGAGAAGGTAAGTTAGTAGGCAGATATGTAGGCTAAAAAGATAATTTGTAAGCATATATACTATATTTCCCACTTATAAAGCATACATACATTTAAGCTACATCACTTTTAAGCTCTAAACTCTACAGGTCCAGAAAACATGTCTGTATTCATCATTATTTTAAGTGAATAGCATTGTGGCAAAGAGCATGGGCTCTGGAGCCAAACTGCTGGAATTCAATTCCCAGACCTGACTGCTATCTATTAGCCACATGACCTTGGACTCTGTCTTATTATCTTCATTTGTAAAATGGAGATAACAGTAATGCAGCTGTCTTGTAAGTTGCTGTGAGGACTAAGTTATTACACTTCTAGTATTTAGAATAATATTTGGCATATAGTGTGTGCATGTAATAGATTTCTATTAATACTATACCTTTTGAAAGCAAATGGAGGGCAGGGACCATATTTTTCTTTCTGTCCCCTTTATAATAGGTTATGATTTTGTCATCTTAAAAATATACACATATGAATATGGATATGGATGTAGATAGAGATGTATAAATATATGTAGGTTTAACATAGGTCTAAATCTCACTACTATTCAATACTGCTTGAATGGGAATCCAAAATTTTAAACCTATTTTAAAACACATTTTAAAACCACCTCCTGGAGGAAAGAAAAAAGGAACTTCAAAATGATTCTTCAGTCTTTCAAAGGCAAGGTAACTGTTATTCCTATATGGTTTCCTCTAAGCAGATGTCCAACATTTTTTGACACTATGAAGCCATAATCTATCATTCTCATCTCTTCATGGGTGATTCCTCATGTCTTTTCTTCACCCAGAAAGTAAAGTAATCACCTGATCCCAGAGCATCACATAAAAATGCCAAATCGCCTACGCGGTCAGCCTCTACACCATACTTAAGCTTCATGGTTCCCTCTCAAATGGTTTAAAGACGAAGAGCCTCACCTTTGTAACTGTACCTTTATCTACTTAAACACCATACTGTCCATACTAATAATAATGAAAACTATTCAACTTTAACAATATATGCTAAAACTTCGATTTCAATAGAGTTTGAATTTCACATTTTCTCTTCACTTCAAAAGTCATTGTTGTGGAACTATTTATAGCACAATGGAATTTGTCATGTGACATTTCCAGGAAACTGCAAACTACTACAGTATAACAACCAAATCCAAATTGTTCTACTCTGTTTGTGGAAGAATCTGGATTGTTCTGAATAACTAATGGAACATAAAGCATATTAATCAAAGAATTGTTTTTAGTAAGTGGATGTAGTATTCATAAGCAGAGAGCTTTCAAGTTTTGCTAATATAAACTATTATTTGTTTCACAGGCAAAACATTCTCTGCAATGTGGGGTGAGTGGCAATGAGAACACCTCAGAAGACACTGGGTAGCTTTTTCAAACTCTTCCCTCCACATTGAGATTCAGATCTCAGAAGTACTGGGGGAAGAGGGTTGAGACTTGTGGATTATAAATCAAAAAAACCTGAGGTTCTGCTGCAGCCCTTCCTACCACCACGCCGCACCTCCCTACCTTGAGAATCGCTTTCTGTCTATTTTGATGAGAACACTACTTTCGCCCCAAATAATCCATCATACTGCTATTAAAAGTCAAGTTCCAAACCAAGCGCAGTGGTGAGCACCTGTAGTCCCTGCTACTCTGGAGGCTGAGGAGGGAGGATCACTTCCAGTGCATACATGTTGATTTCTTATAACTCACCAAATACAACCTTCAGTTTATTAAACAGATTTCACTATAATCTCTATTTCATGGCACAATACCATTAATATGAGTAATAACTATATTTTTATTATTCTTTTACTCTCCTGTAATATAACATTCAGGAATGACAGTTTAACCCATTTCGACATCCATACAGATGAAAAGTTTATTCCAAGGGTTGAATGTTTCTGGGACTTCCTTCTTCTAAAACTGTATACTATTTCGCTTTTTGATGAAATTGTTTTCTAATGTGAAATTCTTTTCTCTCTTTTATCGAAAAGTTAATTGTTAAACTTTGCTACAAAACCTTTTGTTCTTACTGAAGTTACTTTGCTTGTCTCTCCTACTGTAAGGACACCAAATCCTAAAAGCTGGCAAGAATGCATATGTTTATTTCACCATTGCTCTGCAATTACTGAATGCCACTTAATTATAGCAACAGATGCTCGAGTGTAGGAACCAGAAAAATCAAACGCCTCATTTCCAGGTTATTTTTTTCCATTGCTTCTGCCAACAGCAGATGTGTGAGCCCCTTGTGCTCTGGCGTAAATACTTATCAAATCCTAACAGGTCACCTATGTCACAAACAACATTTCAGATGCAACTGTTTCACCTGATAATAGGCTCTGAAAATAAAACTGTGTGCTGTAAATACAATGTATTCAGAATGAAATGCCATAATGTGAAATTGCTTTTTCTCCAGCTACAACTGAAGTCCTTGACAGTTTTTGGCAGTGATAAATCACCCTCCCATTAATTGTCTTCTCTCTCATTGTGAGGTGAGCTGCTAAAAGGGGCAGTCAACAAAAATGACTTAAAGGACAAATTTTGGCTAAAAGACAATGAAGAAATCTGTCATTGCTCAGCCTCCAGTAAACTGTCGTGAAACAATCAAAATATATGTAGCCAAAGTGTTTATGTCTTTGTTAGGAAGATTATAGGATGATAAGTTTACTGTAAAAAGAGAGGAAGGGCCTAGAGAAATTTAAACTGTGGGTCCTTGACACCCTCTTCCAAGTGATTTTTCTCCTACAAGATGCATTACTGTCTCTTAGATTTGAACATTATTCTCATCTATTCAGATTCACACTCTGACCTAGAATAAATGAAAAGTTCCCCAATGTGTGATCACAAGTTATAAAATCTTATTAATGTAATTCTGAATTGAGTGTAAATTTAATTTTTAAAAATTAATTTCATAAATTCTCGAATAACGTGTTTTGTCATAAACAGGAAAAAGAACTCATTCTATTCTACTTCCAAAAACTGTTTGCCACCAGTAGACAATTTAATTTTACCATATGCAGTATGTGAAAATTATATGTTACCACAGTGCATGTCAAATGCACCATTTACATTTTAGTTTATATTCAGCAAGTAAAGATGCATTAAAACTAGATCCAATGCTGTTTTTGCATTAAAAATGTTCGTATTTACTTCATGTAATTAACACATTGCTTAAATTGCTGAATCACAAGTCTAATTGAACTAAAACCCTAAATTTAACTTGTGCCATTTCCTGGCGATTCTCTTCAAATTTCAATAACATATTTGAAAGAGATACAGAGAAAAACATTAGGACCACAGTGATTACACTTGTAGAATAATTCAAATAAAGCAAAAGCTGTAAAATGAAAACCAGGCTTTCAGAAATCTGTATGGCAAATAATGTCCTGAAGCATGATTGCTACATTATCATGTCAACAATTTTTTCTAGAGGAATTTGAGATAACTTTAAAAATAATTTATGGATATTTCAATTAATACAGGAAATCACTGAGTCAGTAACTCTAAAAAGAATGATTCAATATATCAACAAAGTGTGCTTTTTAATAGATAGGCATCTCTGGTTTGCATTAAATGGGGCGAGATGAAGTGGCATTTTGGTCTTTCGATACTGTAATTCAATGAAGAGCCTAAGTTAAATAAGGAAAACTTAAATTACGTCAAATCCCATTTTGTAGCTCAAGCTGAATGTTAGCTGAGTATTAATAAATATAGTTTGTAGACTATGACATTAAAACATCTTTTGAATGACAGAAATAAAAAAAATGAAGGGATTGCTTTTTTTCTTTTTTGGTGATCCGCCAGTTTGAGAGCTTATTGAGAGCATATGGAGATAGCATATTTGCAAGTCCATCTCCGGAGGATTGCAAAAGGCCCTTAGCTTGTGAAAAACAGCAATGTTATTTTTTTTTTAACGTTCCCTATATTTAGAGATTAAATCGCTCACTGCACAAACCCATTTGGAACAGGCGCGAAGGTGAAAAGGATAATCAGTACAGTCACTGGTCCGTGTTTCCTAAACGCTTTTGAAAACATTACTGTGCGCAGGCATAAAATTAGCGGCAGGACCTTAAAAAGGCTGGCATTTAGCATGACTTTTTGGAAAGTGACACCCTCATTTTTTTCTTGTAGGATATCATTAAATTTCAATCGCCCTATGGCAGTGCCTTTCCATTAATAACCAATTCACTGTGTCACTTTGGCTCTCCTTTGAAATAATGAGCCTTTGCTTCGCTTTAATAAATTTAAACATATTCTCAAGGCCAGGGAAGATAGGAAACCGCAGATGGGCTGAGAAAAACACGATTCATAAATCCTTAACTGCCTGAGATCGTTGAGAGCAAAACAAAGTAACACTCGTAAAATATTAAACAATCCCAGCTGTATGAGGGAAGCTTCATTAACAAAAATGGACTATTTACTGCCTTGCTCAGAGCCTGTGGGTGGAGAGAATCAAAGAAATCTTTTTTAAAAAAATCCCACTGACATTTCTTTTTGTGATTCTTTAACCAACTAATGGATTAATGAAAACATTATCTGGAAAGTCCCGTTATTGTCAAGAATTAATAAATATTATTTTAAACAATATAAATTATTTTCCCCACAGACACAAATTCAAAATTAACAAATAAAGAGTATGTGTATGCCTATTTTTTCTTGGAAATATTCCCATAATCTTGGGAAAGTAATTGAAGACATGAGGACTACCCAAGTCCTCAAAACAAAATAATAAGTGTTGTGGACATTCTTATTCAAATGGTTTCTTTAAGTATTTGTCAGGCTGGAACCGATTAGTTACTTTAGCTTTTAGATTTGTATTTTATTATCTACTTCACTGTTTCTTCATAACTAAGACATTTTCTAACATTAAGCTTATCAAAAACTTTAAGATTAATAGTATTTTTGGAATGAAGCTTAAAGATTGGAAACTTGATTCAAAAATCCTAGCATAATAGATGGAAATTATGAGATATCACCATCAAGGATAACATTTTTAATGCTCTGCTTCAAAATCAAGTCGAGACTGCTGCTGATATACAAGTTTGAAGAACCAAGAGATCAATGTCAGTGTGTTAAATGCTAAGAACTTAGAAGCTCTAACCTTAAAGACAAGCTGACAATTTAGTGGACAGAATGTCAATGCTTCTAAACATTTCAAGGGCAAAAATATTGCTTTATACAATCTGTGTCACATTTATTGCAAGAAAAGAATTTAGATTTTTCTACTGCATTCTGTCAGCACTTTTCCTTTTATTATACAGAGATACATAATTAAGGAATTCAATATGGAATAATGCAGAGACTGACTCTTTTAACGATACATAGAGTCTTGTGATATTACATGCAAAATGCAAATACATTCATCCTTTTACAAATACCATATATTTTACCAGCTGTGCCTTTATATGGATAAAAATTCAGGGTATGTAACAAAGCATTTGAATAAACATGTAAGGTCTTTTCTGTCTTCACTGGCAGTTCCATTTTCTTATCATATTGTAATGGAAGCAAATAATTGTTGACCTATTTCCTAAAAGACAACGGAAGTTGAAAAGTCATAAAGGATTCTGGTTAAGAGCACACATACTGACTACAAATATCTTCTGGTATCTATTTCTTAATCTGTAAAATGGGAAAAATAATAATAGTGCCTACTTCCAAAAGTCATTTTTGAACTCAGAGAATTAGTGCATGTAACTTTAAACTTGCATCTGGTATATAATAAGCACTATATACAGGTTTGATTATGACTTAGTTTTAAATGCAATCATTTTGAAGTAAGAATTGTTCTGCCATGATCATACATACATATGTGTGTGTGTATATATATATATATATATAGGTATATATATGTATGTATAATAACTAATACAAAGAATGCTTACAATAAACTTTACTGTTATGTAAGAGCAAGGTGGTCTGCACTAGTATTACAAAGCTATTTGCTGAATTATTGTTAGACATTTAAGACTTGCTTTTCTTCTCAGTGAAGTCTTCCTGAGCTGTCTCCTTCAGTGTCAGAATGTGCCCTAGGCTCAGTTCTTCGTTGGAAAGCTTAAACTTTGTATATTATATTCATTTGGAATTATTTCTGTTATTAATATCTAATCTTTAAGAGGTATTAAAAACACTTGCAATTATTAATACTTCTAAACAGTAAATGATTATCACATAAATATAAATTTTCATGTGTATTTAACAGCATTACTTTTTGTCTTTGCAGAATGTGAGTTGCCTTCAATATGTTTGCAAGATCAATTTAATATTATTTCAATTATTTAAATTAGTAAATAATGATTAAATTATTAATTTAATTTAAATTAAAATATCTTTGGTTATTCTTGAATGCATCACAACTAATTTATAAAAAGAGGTTAAAATGCTGTTAAAAATAATATAAGCATATTATACTTATATTTGTACTACACATTACTCATATAACTTTTAAATTACCATTGCATATCTTATAGTTACAAATTGCCAAATGTAAGTCATTTCCTTCTTTGCGTTGCAACTTCGGAGCAACTTGGATAGTAACAGATTGTATTTTCCCAAAATTGGAGTAGAAAAGTTGAAAGGGCTTTGATAACTAAGATGGCATGAGGATGCCATAGTAAATCAAATGTGAAATAGCATCTTATTTGAGTCTAAGTGACCACCCCTGAAAAGTTGGTATTTTCTTCCGTATCGGTCCTTCATCATTGAACATGGGAAACAATTACAATGAGAGGGATATGAGCACAGAGTCTTTGCCACTGGGCCCTCATAAATCTTGCCAGTTCCCAGTGAACAACACCAAATATTTGCAGCTGAGGAACATTTGGTCTGGCTTAAATTAACATATCTCAGCAGTCAGAAGTCATTAAGCTTTGCCAATGATTTGAAACAATTTTTCCATTTCAAAAGCTATATTGGCTTTTACTTATTTTTCTGGATGAAAAAGGTAGTAAAAACTAAACAAACAACATGAAACTGCAAGTTACTAATAAAAAAAAAATGACAAAGGTCTTTGAACTGTCCTTGGTAAATTTGTTAACACTTTTTTTTTTAAAGAATCCCTTAACTCTTAGGCATATAACCATATAACAGTTCAAGATGATAACAATGTTATGGGAAACAATGATTAAGGTATGCAAATGTAGATATGTTTGTCCATGAGATTTTTGTGAATGTAAGATAATCTACAAATCTGATAAAAATGAGAAAGAATAATCCAACATTTTCAATTAGTTTTCAAGCAGATTTAGTATAGAAGGAAAGAAATATGTTGTTGTGTTTTTCAAAGATGACACACCGTATATACCATTCATTCAGACATAAGGGCAAGAAAAAGTTGTTTAGAATAATTCAATGATCGTACCGGGGAATATATCAAGTGTAAAAAATAAAGTTTCTATAGATGAGACTGCAGTTTAGAATTCAAATCAATACATTCACCTATTTACAGGTTAATTTCATCAACTATGGAATATATGTTTTCTTCAAGGAATAACACTGCTTCAGGAAAAAGCAGATTTTAGAAACGGAAAAACAGATTTTCTTTTTTTTTTTTTTTTTTTTGAGACTGAGTCTCGCTCTGTCGCCCAGGCTGGAGTGCAGTGGCGTGATTTCGGCTCACTTCAAGCTCCGCCTCCCGGGTTCACGCCATTCTCCTGCCTCAGCCTCCCGAGTAGCTGGGACTACAGGCGCCTGCCACCACGCCCGGCTAATGTTTCTTTCTATTTTTAGTAGAGACGGCGTTTCACCCTGTTAGCCAAGATGGTCTCGATCTCCTGACCTCGTGATCCACCGGGCCGGAAAAACAGATTTTAACATCAGTTTCCCTTCATGATAGTTGTGTCCACCTAGACAAGTCATTTAACCTTTCAGAACCTCACCTGGAAACTAAAGATAATAACTTCCACCTTGCAAGTCATTTGAAGATTGGAGATAACCTACCTACAAAACAGAGTACTGTCTCACACTAAATGTTCTATAAAAGGTAGCTATTAATATTAATATTAAAAATAGGCAAATTAGTATCATTACTAATGGTATTAATATTAGAGAATATTTAAAACAGAATGTTCTTAAATCTCACATCTAGTGAATTTTGTTAATTGGCAACTATGCATTAAGACGGGACCTTTAATTGATAACAGATAATAGAAATGTATATATTTACCAAAAGTGAAACTGGGAGTATGGTAACACATGGTAAGGGAAATGCAAATAAAGCACTTCTTATGTGCCAGAAGTTGTATTAATGTTACTGTTATGTGATTTCACATAGTACATCAAACAATATTGTGATTTGGGTTTTTTTTTTTTTTTTTTTTTGAGGCAGAATCTCGCTGTGTCACCCAGCCTGGAGTGCAGTGGTGCGATCTCGGCTCACTGCAACCTCCACCTCCCTGGTTCAAGTGATTCTCCTGCCTCAGCCTCCTGAGTAGCTGGGACTGTGGGCGCTTGACACCACGCCCAGCTATTTTTTGTATTTTTAGTAGAAATGGGGTTTCACCATGTTAGCAACGATGGTCTCCATCTCTTGACCTCAAAATCCACTTGCCTCGGTCTCCCAAAGTGCTGGGATTACAGTGAGCCACTGCGCCCAGCTGATTTGGGTAGTTTTTATTGGTCTATATTTATACAAATCGTAGATGTGGCAACTGCAATGTGGACCCAGGTTCACCTGCCACCAGGCCTCTATTCTCTCTCTTGTGCTATGCTGTTGGAAAATAACTTCGGAGAATATTCACTAAAGATTTCAGATAACTTTTTCATATATAATTTTGTCAAATGGAATAATCCAGTTGCATCTGTATATCACCATTCATCTTTTAAGTGCAAACTCAACAACTCACCATCCTTAAACCATTAATCAAGATGATAAAGTTTCAAACAACCTCCATGTTGTTTGTGAATATTTTATTTTTATTTTTGCCAAAGATAAGATCCAAAGTAACTGATACTGTAGAAAACAAACATTTTGGGAAATAGTATTTTTAGGAAAATGGCCATTAGAGTGTAAGCAATGAAAGTCAAATTAATAAACTTTAATTGATAAAGAAAAATACTTACATAAATAGATCTTTTTTGTCAAGTTAGGTAGCAGTTAAAAAATGATATTTGCATTATGTTGGCTTTTTCTCTTTTTGAAAGGTCTTATCTAAATCAAATTAAAAGACCTTTCATGCCATATGAAATAAACACAAAATAATTGAACACTGAAGATAGAAAATGAAGTACTAAAAGTATGAATGAGTAACACAACACCATCATTGAAAATATGTAATGCTTTGTGGACATATATGACTTGGAACACTAGAGAAAATTTAATGTTACTTGTTTTACTAGAAGAGCATGGAACCACAAATAAGGCTCTCTTATTGCTATATATCAATTCAGAGGTCACATTGCACTTGCAGAAAGAGAAAGCATGTTTTCATAATTGTTCTTGTGTACTCTTTGCTGTCTGTTCTACAGTTTACTAACTCACATGGTAATGATTATTTTAAAACATTTTATCTTATTCTTTGTTAAAAGAAAGTTACATTACATTATTTGGACAAGGACAAAGACACTAATTTAAAAAAAAAAGTTATTTGAACTTTTAAACGAGATTACAACATTGTTCTTTTTAGAAAAGGAAAAAGGGTTGGCCGAGAACCCATAGTGGAAGAAGTGAGCTTGCAGCCCTGCCTAAAGTAGTCAGTTGCCTCTAACATGCCTACTTGACTTGCCTTCTCAGTTTCACATCTCATTTCTCTTGGTAATTTACAGACCTCTAATTCTTTCATAAAGGCAAAAGGAAAAAAAAGACAAGCAAATTACATTTGCCGATCATCTTGTGAATTAAGATAATCATATCCTTAATATTAGAAACTAATACTTTGACATCATGTCAAATAATTAATATTTAATAAATGCATATTGAATAAGTGTAGAAAGGTAAAGACCTCAGATTTCTTTCATCTGTAAAAATAATTTTTATTTTATTCCATTTTATTTCCTTCCAAATAAAGTAAAAGAAAGAAAGAATTCTAAAGATAATTTCTAAGTTGGATTTAGAGTATCATCTCCCGGCTTATTTTTCTTCCCTTCTTATGATCAACGTAAGGGATGGAGGACAGATGGAGAAGGCAGGTGGTGGAAAGTTAGTTAGAAAAACATATATATAACTATATCAAAAGTGAGATAATTCTGAAAAATTTTATAATTTATGTAGATAGCTTCCTCTTGTTAGATACTAAACAACAGGAATTCTGTCAATATGAACATTTACACATATCTTATTAGGAGGAGAGTATTCCTCTAACTTTTCGGGAAGAGTTATTTAGTTTAACAATGACTAAATTTATTTGGATTTTATGTCTTATTAAATTATTTATATTTATCATGCATGTATAAATATAAGTTCATTCAAACTATTTCAGAACATAACCAAATTTCAAATACATTGTGTTCACATGCACCTATTGAAGAAAGGTCTAAGGAGGTCTTCATAACTTTATAAATAAAGAAGAGATATTTGTCCTTGAATAAGTATATGAGAATTGAAGAAAAACTCAAATGGCAAATCTCTAAGAGGTGTACAACTATGGATGAGGCCCTCTAGAATGAATTCTGAAACTTTATAATCTCATATGAGATGCACAAAGTAAAACTCTGTCTAATAAATTTAATTTGCATAATGAGCTTATCAATTTTTTTTAATGAACTCAGAAATAGGACTTGGCCTGTTAACTCCTGAAATATTAAAACATGCAAGCAAAGGAATAGATAAAAAAATCAGTTCCCAATACACATCTGTGGAGATGACATTACTGGGAAATAGAAGTAAGATTTTTAAGGGCTCTGAGTAATTTTGTTATTAATGTTGTCATTTTCTGTTTGTTTTCGGAAGTGTTGTTCTCTAAACAGGGTAGCAAAATGAAAAACACAGGCTCACAGGTCAAAGACCTCTTTGGAATGCCTGTTCGATCACATTGAGTATTTAGACCTCATTCTTAAAATAAATATTATATTTTTATATCATTCTTTTGAGGAATAATCACATATATATGTGTGTGTATATACATGTGCATGTATGTGTGTATATATATATGTGCATACTATACTGTGTCTTGTGCATATTAGGCATTCAATAACTTCTTACTATTACAATGTTCACTCTCTCTTTCATTTGGAAAGCAGAATATAAGCTAATGATATTAGTGAACTACTTTTTCTAAGGTCTCTGATAACCAAATAATGATAAAGTCCTTGGTTCCATTATGGACACTTGTTACATCCTTAGATTTCCATCATTTTGAAAAGATAATTTTAGCTGGCAATAGTTCTTTGGGGTTTTCAAATACATTGCATTATTAGACTATATTGTTAAAATCTAACCTTTCAAGAGAGTTTAAGAAAAAGATATATTTCCTATCTGTTTAAGAATTTAGTTGAATTTCAGAAATACTAGGGAGAGGGAAAAAAGAGTAAAGAGAAATATTTATGAAATTAAATGCATTTTAATTTTTCAGATATTCATTTGACACTTTTGGAAATTTACTATTTACTAACTCCCGTTCCACCAAAAGGAATTTAGAAAGGGCTCTCCAATACCAAAGTAAAAGTAACTGGAAAATATTTATGAAAATAAAAATGAATAAATATATACCTTAATTATGTTAATTATGAAAAATGTATGCTACTGATGAAGAAAGAGATATTGGGGAGAACTGAAAGGCGTAAACCTAGCTAATGTGTTCACATGTTTAAAGGATCCTGGTACCTAGTAGGCTTTCAGCCAGTATACTTCAGCTCCCTTCCCCTTTAGGGAAATAGATTTAGGAAAAAAATGCTTCTATCTAAATAATCTATGACTACAGCTTTAATAACCTCTTCTGGTTTGCATTTGTTTTAGCATCTTAAAATAATTGGGGTAGTTGTGATTATATCAACTCATATATAAATATATTTCACTGTTAGTTTTATTTTTATGAATCAAATAAAATTTTCTAGTTAATAAATATACAAGGCTAGGCCTAACTTTAAATAATGATAAGAATATATTTTTCTAATTATGGGATACATTATACTGAGAAAAGTTAATCACAATTGAATCCAAGAAACATGTAGGAGATATTTTTATCTGATTAGAGACAACTATTCAGGTTTTACCTGCTTGTACCGATAAACCACTTTACTTTTAGAATAACTGGTCAGGAAAATTGTTTTAAGACTTAAAAAAAAAACAAATCAGGAGAGATATCAATAACATTCTTTTAAAAAATTATTAGGAAAAGACAATGAAGACTGTGAGTCAGAGAAAAGCTCTTCAAAGCGTATAAGATTTTTTTCCTATATTTTCCATTAATTGCAATTAGAGAAATTTTTTTAGAGAAATATTTTCTCCATTTCCCTATTTTTCATTTGGAAGTCAGCTTTCAAGGAAATAAAAAAGTTTCATAAGTAATTCCTCGTATTTTCAATCTAAAGATCAGCATGAGAAAAGGAAAGGAAACGTGACAGTGAAATTTATATCTTTTAGGACAAAACTCCAAGCTTGGCTGTTACTTATTTGCCTAATTTTCCTCAGTGGCTTAAATTAGGCTTAAATACTATGATGTTGATATTACTTTAAAGTCATGACCACAGTTATTTCCGGCCTATATTAAATTCTAATATGCCATTCAAAATAATCTCATCAAATTATTTAAGGGTCTTTTCTTCAGTACCTTTTCTACATTTTCCTATAAAACAGCTTGATATTTTCACTCTCTCTTTAGTTCAATGAAATCTCTATGGGAATGTACTTATCAGGTCTTCCTTTCTTGCTTTCTCTTTGTCTCTGTCTCTCTCTGTCTATCTCTCTGTCTCATTCTCTCTCTCTCTCTGAGTGTGTGTCACACACACAAACACACACACACACACACACACTTTACTGTATTGATAGCTAGGTATCCAGAATAAAAGAGTACTGAGGAATAGCATCAGTATGTATTTTTTATTGGTATTTCAACAAGGGTCATTTCTCTTTTTCTCCACCCCACCCCAGTGGCACAGAGAGAGAAAGACTTACATAAACACATGAGAAGCTTGGTCAGGAAATTAGACATCTTATCTCTGGGTCGGCTAAATAAGGACCAATAACCTAGGCCTGCAGCACTCCTCGTGATAACTGCCTTTACAAAATGAAATTTTGACTTCTTCACAGCTTAGCTACAAGAAGACACTATCAGTAGACCAGCATTTCTGTGCAATATGAGGGGTAGTAAAAGATTTTAACATCTGACAGGGGAAAATGAACAACTGATAAAAAGTCTTTGAAATGTTCTCTCAATGTGAGGCAATATTTTTTATGTTGATTTACATTTTTATTATTGTTTACTTTCTTGATAGACTGAAGGTATACTAAACATGAAATACATAAATCGAAGGAAAAATTCAAAAATCAATAGCAACAATAAAAGGACAAAAATATTTAAAAAATAGTTAATTGTCTTTAATATTAAATTATGCTCGTTAATTTAATTGCATATTTACTTTGTTAATGATTTGAAATCATTGAGAAATATTTATTACTTTAATAATATCTACATAAACCATTATGAAAAGTAAAAACATATTGATCATATTGAAGTTCTACTTCTAAAATTAAGCAAAACATCAACACCAGAACTTTTAGTTTTTAAGAGTAGACAATGTTTTGATGATGCCCAAAGTGAGCAATTGTAACTATGGGGAAGGAAAAGAAATGAAGAAACAGTATCTAGATTTTAAAATTAAATATAAAATATAATTTTAAATCTTTAATACTTACATTAAGAACTCTTCTGATGTGTGGAGAAAAAAATGAATAAGAGGTAAAATTTAAAACAATAATAACTAAATTCCATTGTCATACAATATCATAAAAATAATAAAGTTATAACTCATCTTTAGTGGTGCATGGATGATTGAACGAAAAACAAGTTGAAATTTATCACTAAATGTACCCATTCAAGTAAAACTGTGCACTTAATTTTGTCCTTGTTTATAAGAGCTAAATGAGTGTTCTATGCAAATAGTGCTGCTGAAATTTTAGAAGAATGTAATTTTATTTTCATATGAAAGAGGTGAGGAACAAGCTAAAAGCACGTGGAAAAAGATCTAGTGACTATCTGACTCTTTAACTCCCAGAATAATAACTTAACAAATCAGAGTTTTTCTATGTTTCATAAAACTATTTTAATAAATATTAAATGTTTTACATAATTTATTTAATTTTTAAGATAGAAAAATAA
This sequence comes from Homo sapiens, assembly GCF_000001405.40. Lineage (NCBI taxonomy): Eukaryota > Metazoa > Chordata > Mammalia > Primates > Hominidae > Homo > Homo sapiens. Next base: position 71,535,138 of record NC_000013.11, read on the forward strand.
TACTTAGAAAACCAAGCTTACCATTATCAGTATATTAACACTGTATTATACAATTTATAATGTATAATACTGATTAAGGTTTGGTATTAGAAAAACCTTAAAGAAGCATATTTATAGATGTTGCATTTTTAGATGTTATTAGACATACTAATCGGTGTATATCATGTGAATTTTCTTTACAAAATTTAAAATGTTCAACTGGCTTTTAGCATGTATAAGAATTTCCAAATAATGTATCATTAAGATTTTCATTTAAAATTTGGAATGTTATTGTTAACCAAGAACTCAAAAATAAAGAGTGATTGTGATTATCACAAATTTGGTCATGAAATAAGGAGACAGACTTAGCAAATCTCATATAAAAATAACATGGTAAATATTCCTTAATTAACAAATATGGTAAATTCCTTCAGCAGTTCAAAGGGTTAAAAAAGGTTTAAATAAAGTCAGGCGCATTTTTTTCCCCCCAAGACACTGCTTTGATGCTGAATTTATTTTCCATACAAATATTTATAGTGTCCTCTTGTATTACTTAGCTTGTTCGTGCGCATAGTTTATTTACCAATCTTGATTTTATATCTTTTTGATAATTTCCCAGAATACCTAGAACAAGCTCTATAACAACTGGAAATATTTGTATAAATATTTTGAAGATTCAATAAGCTATCTTATATGATTTTTTTTAAAAATGTTTTGAACAATAGTTTAACATTGTCTTCCAAGTTGACTAAATCAAAGTAAAAACATGCACTTAAGTACATAGAGTAGTTTATTTGGATAATAATGACTGAAAATTTCCCACCAAACTTGACGTAGAAATTGGTTAAACATAATAATTACGGTATTACTATCTTTAAATGATTAATTCTCATATTTGTTTTATTTGATAAAACTATTTACTTTTATTTCATTTTGATAGTAAATGATTAAGAGAAATGTATTGATTTGTTCCTCCTAAACTTTATTCTAGTCAAAAATTTAACAATACTGATCCAGCTAAATTTATCATCTCTTGAAATAAGAAATTAGAACAATTAAATCTAATTTAAATAACTGTATCTTATTGATAAATGTATTCAGAAACATCAAAATTCAAAACAACTAAAATTTACACTCAAAATAATTGCTTTCAAAAAGTTTTATCAGGAGAAATCTTTCTCAAGCGCAATTTTATCCCAAAGATCTAGGTAGAGATACTTTGGTTAAAGTGTTAGTCTATGGAATGCTGAAATCTCATATCTAGTGAAAGTTCTTGACACATCCTTGCTATTCAAACCCTAGGGCTAATAGTAAATACTTAGGAGATTACGGACCTGGAGGCAGTGTGCTCTAAGAGACAGAGCATAATAATGAGAAGAAACAGACTGTCTCAATAATAATTGCATTTTTTCCTTATGCCTTGATTGCATCTGTTGCCCAGTGGCTGCAAATCCAAGGATTCTACATTTATGGAAATTATGTGCCAAGTTTCATTCCTCAGATCAACTTCAATAAATATTATGACATGCATTCATTCAACAAAAACTTGGAGTGTTTATTCTGTGTGGGGCACTAAGCTGAATGGTGGGTTGAAGGTGGTTGACAAGGATAGACTTCACAAAGCATGCAAACCTCAATGTAGGAGACACTCTTGAGCTTTCTCTTTCTATCATCCTTTCCCCATTATCAAATTCCTCAAGAAATCCGCTCAACACCACTTCAATCAATCCATTTCTCTCCACTTTAATTGCCAACACCCTAGTCAAAGTCACCATCATTTCTCACCTAGAGGTCTTTAATAGCCTCTTAATTAGTTTATTATTTAATTATAGCTCCGCACACCATTATATATTTTCAATGCAAAAATCAATTAGAATCCTGTCATTCCTCTGGTTAAAATCCTCAAAAGATACTCATAAAATACAAACTTCTTACCAAAGAATGCAAACATCTCCAGGCTCTGATCACTTCCCTACCTCCCTGAATTCATCTTACCATGTGTCTGCTTTAATCTTTATGCTCTGGCCAAGAGGATTCATGCCAGTTTCATCCTGCTTGAGGGCTTTGAGCCTGCTGGTCTCTTTGCCTAAAATGTCTCCCCAGCTCCACTGCACCAGAACTTGCCATGACTGCCTTTGCGTTATCATTCAGCCGCAGTTCAAATGTTGCCCAGAGAAGCCTCTTGGTGCCATCCTATGTATGAAAGCCTACCCTAGCTACTATCACATTTCCCAGTCTCTTATCTGTCATACACAAAACACCAACTAATATAAGTTCATATGTTCGTTTCTGTGTTTATCATTTACTTGCTTATTGCTGATATCTTTGATAAGAATATAAATTTTATGAGAGCAGGGGATTTGTTGATCATCTTGCTTCCAGCAGCTAGAACAGTGCCTGGTCCTCAGACCTCAATGAATAATTGAAGGGAAAAAAGGCAGAAGTAGGGAAAAGCAAAGAAATTTCAGGAATGTCTATATGATAACAATGTTAGAGTTCCATAGAGAGAATAAATAAAGTCTTCAAAGGCTCCTTCATGATTAGTCATTTCTCAATCCCATCTTGAAAATATTGTAGTTTTTAGATTTATCACACTAAACTTCAATTTTGTCTCAAATTTGTCTTCTCCATTAAAAATTGTACTCCATGAGGTGCCTTGTTGTCTGTATTTCCAATTATCTAGTTGGAATTATCTAGCTTGATCCAGAATAGCTGCTCAATGAATATTTTCTGTTTACTAGACAAACATAAAAATGTAAAACTATATTTGTTGTATTTTTTCATAAGGTTCTTTCTACTGAAATCATAAATACATGAGCCATGTAGATATTTTCTCTATGAGTTTAAATATCACCCACAAAAATCCAACTCATTTTATGCATCAGATATGCTAGCTTCTGAATTTTCGATGAACCCTTTTCTACTTCTCTAGACCAGCAAACACAATCACTCATAAACTGCATCTCACATTACACTATTGTTTTTGACCTTTAAAACTCAATGCCCCACACTAGGCCACTGCTCTTTTAAGTATTCCACATTGATTATTTCTCAAGGCTAGAAAATGGAACCGATTCAAATAATACTAAGGTTAAAAATCTAATTACTTCAATCATAGAATGAAATGTTCAGTGCCATCTTCAATTTCGTCATTTGATTACAGAGGTGATACATGAGTATTACAAAGAAGATACATTAGGGTAGATAATCCCAACTAGTGGTTCTATAATGGGAGTGTTTCTGATGTTTTGTTTTCCTCAAAAAAAAAAAACACAATTACTTCATCAAAATGATTTTATTGTAGTGTTTGGAGAAGCAAGCGTGGCAAAAGAAACCTTGGAAGGTCTTCCTTACCTATATAAGAATTCTGAGCAAGGAAAAGGAATATGCAGAACACAGGCAAGGGAATGTGAACTTCGAAGGGAAACACTGACATTCCATTTACACGGTCACAAAATGGATCTTCACATTTTAATAAAATCAACAGTATAAAATATTTAGACCTTCACATGAATTCTCCAGGGGAGCACTGAACAACAAACTACCAGAGTTTCTGGATATTTTTAGGAAATGCAAACAGCATAGTACATTTAGTTTAAAAATAAAAACATACTCAGTTTAAAAATGACTGCAGTTTCAAATGCTGGCACCTATCTTACCTACGGAGCTCTAGATTTTATTTAAAACAAAAATAAACACAAGATTCAGGGTCAGGTTAAAACATGTATTTGTTGCATTTCAATTTCGTTTCATATTTCTTGTCCTTTTAAAAAGAGGAAATAACATTGTCAACATGGTAATTTCAGAGTTTATTTTAGGCAGTTATTGGATATTTATGTTTATCACATAAAAGTCATCTTTCATTCCTCGATGTTGCACAGTTCCTTATATTTTATTTTTTTAATCTTTTGAATGAGATTTAAATGTTTAATGTCTAAATATTCAAAATGCAAATGTATAACAGCTGAAATTGTTATGGTTCTGCCATATACACACAGCTCTATTTGTTAAGAGGCAAGAAATAGTGAAAATCATTTTCTCATTCACTGTTGTATAAAAACACTCTCACACCGGGTCTAGCTGTTACTATTTTTTGTCAACTCCTGTTTTGCTTCTGTCTCTTGAACTTGCATGTTCTATGGCCCGTAGTGATATTCATTGATGGGTGCTCTTGATATTCAGAAAAATGCTTTTCTTTGCCTCTTAACCATAAAGTTCAGCAATGACAACCAAAGATTAGGTTGTGTGCACCCTTTCAGTTGTGGACTACAGAAAATCTTTCCTTCGAAAGACTTTCTAGAAACCTGTCAGAATTAACTATAAAATTAACTGTTTGATTATCAACCATGAGCCTATAATACCAGTGGTTAACAGAAGCCCACAATCTGCAATATATCCATAAACTCTCTGAAAATGTTACTGATAGGAACTATAATCAATATAAAAACTTGCAGTAAAAAAGGAATCAATGTGCACAAATTCCCCGAGGATTTCTGCTTTCCTAAATAAAGTTTGTATTTCTGGCTAATTCTCTTAAGATGCTATTTTACACATATTTTATTTTTTAGTGAATTAAATTTGGGTAAAATAGAGAAAGTAAATTACACCAAGCTTTATTTATTTCCTGTCATTTCAACTCAATCAGCACTAAAACTTTTATGAAAGTACTATGGTTGATCAATGTATTTGTAAGAGAAAATATCAAAAAAGATGGAACTGGAAAAGGAAGGGCAATACAAAGAATGCGGTCATGAAAGAACTGGTTGTATTTTAAAGAGTATCTTGTATTTTTTACTTTGTTTTAAAATAACATTCAAAATAAAGATGATTTAAAAGATCATATTCTTAATTGCATCAAAAATATGGTAAATTTTATTTCAGTATCAATAAAATGATCTATCATTGGCATGAGATAAACTTTATGAATTTAGGCTTCCATGTCATTTATTCTATATTGTATATCATATTTATTTATAATATAAATTCACTAGATAATATAATTGGAAAATGTTTCCAATTAGATTCAGTATTATGGCCCTAAAATGGATGCATTTCTGTTAATATAAAAGTATACCTGGTACATTTTATCATGCATTAGAGATTTTAATCAGGTAATCTACACAGCATCTGGAAACCTAAGCAGAGGCAAAGTCTGCTATAACAAAGGCACTGTAACAGTTCACCTTCAGTGAAGAACAATAATGCATTATTAAATTCACTTTCCTGCTCAGTGGTTACACTTAGCTGACCACAGCAAATTTGCTCTCTGCCTGGTCCTCACAAGTTGGCAGAAAAATAGATTCTGTCACATTTAACGGGTTTAGAAAATGACAGGATGCCTCTTTTGTTTTAACTATAAACCATAATCTTTCAGAAGTAAATATAATTACAAATGCCTTTGGTCATGTCATTCTTAGGATGGATATTATATGTGGGTTATCACAGAATCATATATCACCATAACTATCATTAATAAATGAAACTGATACTACATATCAAAAAATCCAGATTTTTTATGGAGCTTTCATTCCATATGACATCATAATTCTTACAATGGAGTAAAGATCATTTTGAAACCTTATAGAGCTCTGAACATTACAGCAACCTGTAGGTTTTTGTTTTATCTTAATTTATGTAACTCTCATGACTTAGGGTATTTAGTCTATGACAAAAATATCACATTGAACAAACTCAACTTCAACTTCTATAATATTGCCTAAATTAAAATGGAAAGAAATTTTAAAGTCACTGATTAAATGATCACCAACATAAAAATATATGATTGTTTATCTATTAACCCATAAACCCTTTCCTTAACACATATACTTGTCCTATTAATATGCCTATTATAAAGGAAATGCTATGTTTTTTATTTTATGTATTGTTAAATTTAGATTATCATGTTACATAGCACTTTTTCTCAAGTAGGAGAGAAATAAATATTATGTAATAATGAATTACGTTACCATCCTAGAAATATTTTCATAAGTAATAAGTGCAAATTATGATGCTATTCCTTATGGATAATGAAGTTCATATGTAATTTTATTTTTTAAAAAACCTGATTCTTTATGGTTCTATAGAAATTTTACTTCAGAATACTTTACAACTAGGTGCAAGAGATTTACTAACCAACACCAAAGAAATATTGCTTCCTTGACAATGAGTATCAGTTACTCAAAGAAGTATTTTTATAGTTTCCTGAAATGTCTTTTGTAAGGGCTTTTAAACTTTATTGTATGTTTGAGCTTATTTCACATAATGATCATGATTATAAAACAAACTGGCATAGTTTGCCTTAATATTTAATTATGCAAATAAACTATGAAACACCTTCAATAAAAGTATCAATTATAAAAACATCAATTAAAGAAATAAATTCATTGCTTGACTCTAAGATCTGAATAAAACTTTTTCTTTACAAGAAGCACACTGGACTTGCGATTTGTATACATATCTTATTCTATAGGTTACATTTTCCATATATAAGTTCATTTATATGGCATTTTACATTTTTATTGATAATATCACATGAATCATTTGTTGTCAGAAAAGAGAAGTCTGCCATAATCAAATGAAAACACTGACATTTTTACATGGTGTTAAGGGTTAAATTCTTGTTATTAAAGAAAAAGAATACCCTGTGAAATTTGCTTTGCAATTTATTTCAATTATATTAATTTTAAGGGTTCTAAAAATGAGTTGCAGTAGAATTCTATGGAGCTTTTTAAACATTTAACATCCTTTAGCTTGCTGTCCTTTTTAAAAAATTATTGACATTTGTGGAAAAGTCACTGATATTTGCCCAGTTTTTTTTTTTTTTTTTTTTTTTCATCTTCACAAATTTCAGGCCGGGTACGATGGCTCACTCCTGTAATCCCAGCACTTTGAGAAGCCAAGACAGGCAGATCACCTGAGGTCAGGAGTTCGAGACCAGCCTGACCAACATGGTGAAACTCCTTCACTATTAAAAATACTAAAAAATTAGCTGGGCATGGCAGTGGGCACCTGTAATCCCAGCTACTTAGTAGGCTGAGGGAGGAGAATCTCTTGAACCCAGGAGGTGGAGGTTGCAGTGAGCTGAGATTGCGCCATTGCACTCCAGCCTGGGAAACGAGCGAAACTCCGTCTCAAATAAATAAATAAATACATACATAGATACATACATACATACTTGAAAAATAAAATAAAAAACAAAGTTCAAAGTTGTACATCAGGTATAAAAAGTACATTGTGGTTCAGATAAACTTATTACATCACAATATGAAAATATAACTTATTCCTTAATCATCTGAGTTATTATCATACAGGCTGTTTCTTCATTTCATGGTAAAAACTTTAAATTATTAGCTATAAAGAATTGATAGAGAAAAATACATGTGTCGATAGCTGACTTTTAAATATCAATAATGTCATTATCATTATTCTAAATTTCTATTTTAAAATTTTTCCACAATAAATAAATCTCTCTCCTCTTTGGCTTGTCTAAAACAATGAGAAAAGTCTGTTTAATCTTAAACCACTGCCATGATTTCCAGAACACTGAAAATACATGAGTGTTTCATATATGAATTTTATTGGAAGCCAAATTTTCCTGCAAAGAAAATATATAAACTCTAATCTAAAGTCTAACTTCAAAGTTTCTCACTGTACCATCCACATGTTATAGAGAAAATAAGAACTTATAAGCCAGTCTACCTCTATATAAGGAAGCTGAGAACTTTGGCTATTTGATGCCAAAAGTAATATTCAATTTAAACAATAAGTGAGCATTTTCAGGAGATTAAAAGCTCAGCTATTTTACTATCAGAAATTATTCCAAGTCTATGAAAGCTCTTAGTCTAACAAAGATCACAGCAAAATAAAATACATTCATGAAAGGAAAGATTGAAGATCCTTGAGGAACTGAAATTAATGGCATAAAAGAGATTTTCCAATATTATTGGCATAGACTTCTCTCTCCTTTCACCCACTGCCTAAGTTTGAAAACTGGATTTAAGTCAGGAAACAACAAGGTCTGTGTTTATGGTATGTGAAGAATTTAGGTTGTATGTTTATTGGGATCTGAAGGACTTAGGTTCACTACAAGAAATGCAAAAGCAACAAAAGGAAAATGTAATTGCATCACTTTTGGTCTCAGTAATGTCTGGAGGATACACTGGAATCAGCACACATCCCACATTGGAGTCTTTTATGCATATTTAATCCAGTGTTTTTCGTAAAATCAAGTTGAATCCTAGTAAGGATGATATGAACTGAAAAATCAAGATATTTAGATGATTAAAACAAATAATAAACTCTACAAGAACAAATGAATACATTTCAATTCAGAGGAAAAAACATCAAAAAACTCTTGATTCGCATAATGTTTCTATTACTATGATTAAAGAGAGACATTGTTAAAATTCTGATTTATTTCTCAGTAGACAATGAGAACTAACATGCTTGATCAGATACCATGGGCCAAGTACTTTTCTAAGAGATGCATAGGGAATCTAACTGAAATCTTGTGAGGTAAGTAGATATATTGCTTAAACTCCCCATCTGCCTTGATTTGGATATTTTTCTAGATATAAGGGGGACAATACTGATATGGAGAATGTAGCACCATTCATCTCCAAAAAATTCCCCTTGATTACAATACTTAATTTATGACATAGGTCATGCGTAGTCTCTGTCCCATCTGTAAATAATAGCGAAACTAAGAAAGGCACTTGATCCTTAGCCGTAGATTTAAATAGACTACTTCTGCTAAGATTCCCCAAGAAGAACCACACCTTCTCTCCTAGTACGAGAGTGATTTACCACATATCTTTCTCTAGAATTGTCCCACCTTACCACTAAAGCACACAACTATAGCAAAACTCAGAAAGGCATTTTATCCTCAGCCATAGGTTTAAATAGGCTATTTCCACTAAGATTTCCCAAGAAGAACCACACCTTCTCTCTTAATACGATAGTGATTTACCACATATCTTTCTCTAGAATCATCCCACCTTACCACTAAAGCACTCAACTGCCTATGACAATTCTCAAACAAGCCATAGGTGTAGAAAGAACTATATCTATTGGGTAGGTGTGGCAGAGAGAGAATGGAAATCTTCCTGCGTATTCCTTATTGCCAGTAAAATGTAAAAGAAAAACAAAGCCATGAGACACATGACTACTTTGAATAGAGGTTATAGTTTAGATAAACTCCTATATATGGGTTTAGTCTTCATTATCATTGATTTTATTCAAAAACTTCTCAGTATGGTTTGAAAATACAACAATGTCCTACGTCCTTTTGTTTAACATTCATCTCTAACTTTTTAGCAACAAGCACAGTGGTGCTTACCACATAGCAGGTAATAACAAATTTCTGAATGAATAAATTAATAGAGAAAATTGCTCACTTAAAAAAATAATGCTGTTAAGAAATCATTTACTGTGATTTTACTTAAATGTATGAGATTATGACTGCAAAACTTCCCTATGTCCTTTCACAAATGTTTCCTGGAATTGTATTGTTCTAAATGCTATCACTTATATTAAATGATAATTGAACAGATAAATCATTCTCTTTTATGCAACACACTGCAGTATGATAGTCTTTGTGACAGACACTGAAGATCCAGTTGTAAATAATATAGACCCCACCACATATTCATGGAACTTGCAACCTGGTGAATTACAAATCTTATCAGGGCCCTCCAGATTCACTGTCCACCCTCTCTGCCTTCCTCTCTGATCTGTGTGACTTTAGGATGAATCCAAGTCCTATGGATAGATTACTTAATTAAACAACCCAGCAAGCAGATCAGATGGAGCACCAGAATGTGACAGCCTGGCTTCTACTAAGCCCTAGATTACTGCATCATCCTCTGTACCTACACCTTGAATTATCTTACTTCTATGAGCTGTCTGTTTTCTGATAGGACCCTGAGTGATATGGCACAACACGTATACAGTGCTCCATACAGATGGAACAGTTTTGCTAATTTTTATAAAAACAAACTTGCTTTTTTCAAGTACTACAAACTGAATTTTTACCGATGAAGAAACTGAAGGTCACGGACATTCGCTAATTTCCCAAGTTCGAAATTTTAACCAGGACTTAAATAGAGAAGTCTAATCCCGAGGATATTTTCTTACCCTCATGCTAGAGTGCTTCCAGTGATAGTCATCTCTTAGACGAATATAAAACTATTTTGTGAATTCAAGATTTTTCCATAATAGATTACTTGTGTTATTATGGAATGGATAATAAATAATAACAATCATGATAAATAATAAGGTCAATATATAGCAAATTGAAGAAAGTATAAAAGCATTATATACTTATTTTCATGCTTCATTAGTAACCTCAAAGTATCTCATAGTTATCACGATTTTTAAATAAAGATAGAAAGAAAGAAGAAAAGAAGAAAGGAAGGAAGAAGGGAGGGAAGGAGGGAGGGAGAGAGGGAGGAAAGGAAGGAAGGAAGGGAGGGAGGAAGGAAGGAAAGGAAGGGATGAACCTGTGAAACATTCAACTAATTAATGATTGTCTCATCTTCTGAAAGTATTTTTTATTGAAAAATTTTTAACAAAATATAGTCCACAAAATAATTCATTTGTGCTGTCTTTTAAATGAAGAACCATAAAGACAAATGTAATCACAAGTTTGAAATATATAGCCATCATGATTTTTTAAAAGTATCCTAACATAACTTTAACATATTCACAAATGAAGACTAAACAACTTGTTCCCTTCATTAACATAAGGGAAGATAATTATCTATTAAATTTTCTACATCCAAGAAGCTGTGATTTGAAATCAAGGCAGAGAGGCATGCAGTAATTCCAAACTTAGAAGAAGAGCACAGAATGGCAAAGCCTTCATAAATATCCATCAATTTTGGCCACTTATACAGATATCTGAGTAGAAGGGGAATTCCCTTTAGGTAGTGATCCAGTGAAGGCTGATACATTTTTATGTAGAAAATTACATTTTACTTAAAGTAATTTGGCTCCATATGTCAAACAGATCAGCTTTCTAAAGTTTATATTGCTTGCAATAAAATTTTTTTAAATCATCCTATCAACTGTTTCCTCAGATCACAGCTTCGTAAAAGCACACAGGATTGTCAGACTGATTTACCTTCACAAAAGTATAATTCTCAAGCACTTGTGCACCAGATTACATTTTTCAAAAGAGGGATATATAAAGAAGAAAATTAATTTATGGCTTTTTTAAAGTAAATTTTTTAACTTGTATCTTAAAGATTTACATTGGATATAATAAATTTCTAATAATGTATTTAATAAATGGCTCCTCCTGAAATATACCAATAAAATAATACTTAGTTATTACTATTTTGATATGAAATTATAGAACATTAAAACATAAGGGTACTTTACTTGCTTGGAGTAGAAGCAAAAGCAGTTGTTTTTAAGAATTTAGAAACATATTGAGCATTCATTCTTAAAGTTTAATCACCACTTAGGTAGAGCTATATGCAATTACTTTTAAAAAGCATTTCTATACACAATATATTGCTTATAATTAATTCAATGAACTATCAAGGCTATAAAGATTAAATAAGAAGGAAAAAATATCATTAAAAACCTCAGCTATGGTCTAAAAGTTAACTAAGCAAAGTGATCTAGAGAACAATCCTAATTAAAATGTCTGATATAAACAAAGCTTAGACCAAAAGCACTAAAAACAATTGAATACTTATTTTATTAATCTAATGAATCATGTATCATATCATTACAACTTTGTATATATCATTAATTTCATTCCTTTCACTTAAGCCTTTTATTGGGATTACTTCAGTTATTAGTTGGTCTAATGTATTGGTTACCTCTAAATCTCGCTCTACAATCTCTTCTTATCTTGTTGCATAAACCCTTGCGTGTTATTCAAATTGCTTCATTTATTATGATAGCTTCCCCATGTAAATTGTGCTGACTGCTCGCCCTTGCACAGTCCTCATTAGACTAATGAAAACCTTCAAACGAAAAAACTAAACAACCTGCCAAATAAAGGTCTGAGGTTATTATGAAAATTACAACTCTGGGAGCTGGAAGAAGCTCTGTTCATTAATTCATGCTCAGCAAATTGCTAACTAATTTAGTTGCACTCCTCTGCATTAATGGATTATTTTATAAAAATGTTTTCCACAGCCCAAGACCTTTGGTGCATGCTTTTGAGAGGCTTGAATTCTAATCAACCTTAACAGTAAATTAGGAATGTAATATCTAAATAATAATTGGGATGGCATATGGAGGAAAATGGTGTTTAAAATCCCATGAAAGGTGCTTTTGGTTTTCAGCTTCATCTGTCAATTTCACAGTAGTTAAAACAATTGTACTTGTTTAATATTCTGAAACTGTAGCATAAGATACTAGCAACAATAGTAATGTAAAATTTTAAAGAAAATCTAAAATGCAGCTTCTACTGGGACAAAACTGTTATACACAGAAGTTATCACATACCTCTCTAGGAATAATTTGTCAAAAGGACAAGATTAAGTGGTAGTAAGCAAGGAAAAGTCAAAGAAAAACACTACCCAGTTTTCTATAGCAGGTGGGCAATATCTCCTTTAAAATACCTTCAAAATATCATCAGGTTACTATGCATTTAAACATAATAACCACTAGTTCCATATTAACTTTTGATCTATTTCATATAAACTTCAAATTAGTTCTAGTGTCTTTGGGATTTACCTAAGCTTGGCTATTATTTACAAGCCCTGCAAACAAGGCTGACTGAATGTGTTAAATCATCCTACCAATTTGATGGAAGAATTCAAACTGCTCCAAGCACAAGAAACAACAGGGGTGTTACTCTGCTTCTTAACCTATAATACAGCATTTAATGCAAGATCACTCCATCATCTACCAAGAGAAGTTAAAGCATTTGTGTGTATGCAGGGGTATACGTGTGCACACGTGAGGTTATAAAAAATTTTAATAAAAGTAGACTGTGAGTGTTAGGCAAAATTGAAAATATGTTTTTAAGTGGCAACACTTTCTCTTTTTAAAAATTTAGATACTTGGAAGATATTTTGAACAAACAAGAAATTTATTTGTATTTAGTGATGATTAGCCATAAGATAAAAAACTTTGTTTGTAGAAAAGTCATTATTATGTCAAATTATTATATGTCCATGTGGCAGTTTATATCTCAGGTTAGAAACTTCAAAACTATTAGGTCAAAATATATGCAGTTTCAGATATTCTATTCCTTTATTCCATAAAAACATCATCATACAGAGTAATCTGATATCTGTGGAAACTCAGAATTTGAATTTTGTTATTCTTTCATATTAAAAAATAAGAAAGCTGTTAGAATCACTGAACTTTTAACAGTCATTTTTGTACATTTCTAAATAAGTCTAACCAAGGAAGGAAAACAAGTGTTTTATAGTTCTTTGAGGAAAAAAACATAGCTGTCCATTTACAAAATTAAAATGTGCAAAATAAAAACATCTTCAGCTCCACTAAACAATGTTGGATTGTTAATTACTATTCTCAAAATTAACTTTCAGGCACTGTGTGGTGCTCACGCCTGTAATCTCAGCACTTTGGGATGCTGAGGTGGGTGGATTGCCTGAGCCCAGGAGTTCGAGACCAGCCTAGCCTACATGGTAAAACCTCATCTCCACTAAAAATACAAAAAGTAGCCGGTGTGGTGGCGTGTGCTTGAAGTCCCAGCTATTCGGGAGGCTGAGACCCAAGGATCACTTGAACCCAGGAGGTGGAGGTTGAAGTGAACCATGTTTTGTGCCACTGCACTCCAGCCTGGGCAACAGAGCAAGACTCTGTCACCAAAAAGAAAAAAGAAAGAAAGAAAAAGAAAAAGTTTCAATTTGGGGTAAATTCTCACTCAAATAGACATAGTAAAAAATACACATAACCTTCCTCTGTAGATCACTTCCATACTAGACTATGCAAACTATCAACTGGAAACTAGCAAAACTGAAAGAAATCTACTAGCAATATGCTAGTAAATTGCAGGAAAAAAAAACTAGAGATAACCAATTCATTAAGCCAAATAATAAGTTATCCAATCACATCTTAGATGAAAGCAATAAAATAAGGGAATTTATGATGATTGATAAATCATTAAATGAAGCAAATTTCAATGTGAAACTGATAAGTGAGTCTACTAGTAATTTGTTCTCTACCTCACGTTTAATGCTTTAAAAATATTATCTATTTGCACAACTATATAAAAACAATCTCTTAAACAGTGAGGAAGTGAGTCATTCTACACCTACCGTATTAAGAAAATAAAGCAGATTAAGTGGAATAATAGTTTTTTTAAATGCGGAAAAGGCATCTCATCTGATCACAAGTAAAACTACTATAATGTATAAATTTATAGCATTTATAAGACTGCTCTTGTCTCTTTGACATATAGTGCATGAAAATTATCAGTAGATATTAACGTGATTCAGTTTTCCAAATATACAAAAAAGTTGCTAAAATCTAAACATAGAAAAGATGTACTGGAGATATAATTGAGAAACCACTGAGGTTGTCAACACCAATAAATGACTCTATTTTTAAATATAATATTCATATTGCTTGTATGATAAATTCCTGGGAAATGTAACCTTTATGTAAAACTGTAGTAATTTACTTTACAAGTGGCATGTGTGAGTAGTTCAAAGACAGAATTCCTACCCATCAGAGGGAATCTTGTTTGATTTCTAACCCACTCTCTTGTAGCCTATTCACATCTAATACCCACTATCACCTGTGATTTACACAGCCACACACATGTTTCTCCTCAAAATATTTATTGAATGAATTCTAGGTTCATTGAAATTGTATTAAATAAATAAAGATTATTTTTAATACAATCATTGACATATAAAATAGCTGATTAATGTAGTTAATTTAGCAATTTTTTCCTCCAAAACTGTACACATTACATTTTAGCTATATGTAATCAAAGTGCTGTCTACAATATTATAATTTCAAATTTCCTATTGGGGTCAAATGTAAATCATGATAACTGTGGTATTATGAATTGTAAATAGATAATATTCTAATTCAGAGGTTTAAAGCATGTATATTTTCCAATTTATATAATCAAACCACTTGCTCATTAGCTAACTTGATAGTAGTAATGGTTTCCATTGGATATTTATATGCATCAAGCACTCCAGACATATATTATCTCACTTAACTCTGAAAAGAACTTTATTGTACCCACTAATGCCAGACCCTGTGCTAAGTATACAAAGAAGGTGAGAAGACATAGCTCCTGCCCTGAAGAAGTTTGGGCTGAACACTAGTGGATAGGAAGGCATACATATCCCATGTAAGGAAAGAAACAGAAATCATGTAGGAAAGGACAGAGGATGTTTGAGAAACTTGAAAGTTCAGTGTGACGTGATGGTCATCAAGGCGCATGGGTAAAAAGTAAATAAATATTATAGTCTATATTTTATACCAATTGCCCATCATTTACAGGGCTGTTATGAATATCTTACAGTAAGTATTTTCCTCAATTGTCATTGAAATATTATTACAAGCTCTGCTCCTAGAAATAATTCATAAAATAACAAAACCAGTGTCTTAAGCAAGCTGAGCTACGGCTTTGCATATGAAATCTGCTATCTACTTAAGAAAGAGCTCTGGGATCCAAAGAAAGTTGTTGTTGTCCAGTGTTATAATCACAGAACTAAAAGTGATGGCACTAAGTTCAACACTTATTTTCGAGGCATGGAAACTGAGGAGGAAAATTACATAGGTAGGTAATAGAATATTTTACAGGAGACTTTGAGATATGCCAACAAAAGATATATTTAGATGGTATAAGTAAAGGAGAAGTTGCGTGTTAGAGAATTTTACAAGTGAAAATACTCATGGCCCTATAATATGTGTTAACATTATCAAAATATAGAAAATTTTAAAGAAAAAAGGCTTTTAGTCTATGCAATTCTATATAGACACAGGAGATACTAACAGGCTCCCATATAGTTGTTGTATGTAATATTTAGTATTGATTAATTTGAATAAGATCTATTTAGAATTTAAAAGAAAAAAGCCATTTGTTTACTTATAATTTAATTTTTTATTGATACATAATAGATGTATATATTTTGGGAGTACATGCGATAGTTTAAGACATTTACATAATTTTTAAAGACCAAATCAGTAGAATTGGGATATCCATCACCCTAAATATTTGTCTTTTCTTTATGCTAGAAATATTTGAAATTATCCTCTTCTAGGTATTTTGAAATATACAATAGATTGCTGTAAACTATAGTCACCCTATTGATTTATTGAACATTAGGTCTTATTTCATCTATCTAACTGTGTATTTGGACCCATTAATCCTCTCTCCTCCCCACTGTTCTAAACAGCCTCTGGAAACCAGCAATCTAACTACCTTCATGAGATACGCTTTTGTAGTTCCCATGTATGTGAGAACATGTACTTATTGTCTTTCTGTACTTGGCTTATCTCACGTAACACAATGACCTGTAGTTCCATTCATGTTGCTGCATTTTTGAAGACTCAATCTTGATTTAAGTTAGGATTTTTAAACAATGAGAACTGCACAAATAAAAATATATTTCAAAAATTATTTCCAAAAACTTGAATAAAGTGATACATAATGATTTTCTTTCAAAAGGGCTTTGTATGAAAATGGTCCATAAGATTGGATGCTAAGACTAAAATATAAAGAAGAGACAAAAAGCCAAATATGGCCAGTTTGCTAACTACATTATTGTCTTTAGTGCTGTGTCCTTCACTTTAGATTACCAGTATGAAAAGTTTTTATACAAAGATGTTAAGCATTGGAGATGTTGAGCATTGGAAATCTTGAGCATTCCCCACCAAGCAGAATATGACACAAAAGAAGGGCTTTATGGCCTGAAGCAAATCCCCTGGATTTCCTGCCTCCCTCAGATTAGTCCTGCCTCTGAAATGTTGGTCTCCTGAAGTTGTCACCAGTGAAAGAAAGTTTTCTTATTTCTTATGAAAACAAATGAAGAGAAAAGCCTTATCTGTAGGAGAAATGACATATCAAGAAAAAAATCTGTATAATTTTAACGAGGAAAGGGAGAGACAGAGAAAGAGAGCGATTGATTTGCATTTCATTTCTTTTCATTCACATATCTAGCTTTCAGTAAATATTTACTCATTGATTACATCACATTGGACTACTTAATCCAAGACCAAAATACAATAATACAAATTAGGTATGCAACAGTTAGTCACAACTATAAATGCTTAAGTTTTCTATAATTGGAAGAAGTTAATATTATAGGCTTATCTCCATCATATATATAATTTTTGATCAATCAAAAATTAGGTAAATCGTATAATAACAAAAATGTACATATTGAGTTACAGGCAAGGTAAGAAGTGTGCTCCAAAATTTGTTGAAAGTAGCAGCAATTTAAGAAAAACCAAAACAAATTATGCATGAGAGAGCAACACTGTAAACTAGCGTCAGTGGACAAATGTGTGGAGGATAAACAGAGAGCTCTAGCATCAAGAAACAGTGAGCCTATTTATATACCACAAATGTCAATTATTACAGCCTATTCCACTATATTTAGAATGAGGGAAAAGATCAGCAATGTTTTAAAACACAGAAAGCTCTTGAGGACTCCGGATGTTTGGAAAAGCTGAAAGACAGTTTTCATGCATATATATATATATATATGGATGTGAATATATATATATATATATATATATATATATATATATATATATATATATATAGAGAGAGAGAGAGAGAGAGAGAGAGAGAGAGAGAGAGAAAGAGACAGAACTAATAGACCAGGTGTGGTAGCTCACGCCCTGTAATCTCAGCACTTTGGGAAGCCAAGGCAGGTGGATCACCTGAGATCAGGAGTTCGAGACCAGCCTGGCCAACATCGTGAAACCCTGTCTCTACTAAAAATACAAAAATTAGCCAGGCGTGGTGGTGGGTGCTGTAATCCCATATATATATGTGGGATTAGACATATATCCATATATGTATATTAGACATATATCCATATATGTATATTAGACATATATCCATATATGTATATTAGACATATATCCATATATGTATATTAGACATATATCCATATATGTATATTAGACATATATCCATATATGTATATTAGACATATATCCATATATGTATATTAGACATATATCCATATATGTATATTAGACATATATCCATATATGTATATTAGACATATATCCATATATGTATATTAGACATATATCCATATATGTATATTAGACATATATCCATATATGTATATTAGACATATATCCATATATGTATATTAGACATATATCCATATATGTATATTAGACATATATCCATATATATATACATATATACATATATGGGATATATATATACATATATATATATACATATATATGGATGTGAACTGACATAGATTCAAGCCTAAAACTTTTGTTTTATATATATATATAACATTTTGTTTTTGCATTTTGTATTTTTATATTTTTGTATTTTATATTGTTATATATATAACATTTGTTTTTGTATTTTATATATATAGTATATATATATATATATGCATATATATATGCCTTAATTATACTCTCCCTAAGCTCAAAACCTTATGTGAGCATACTTTATTTTTAAAATGGAATGAATTTACTCAATAGTTAAAACCTCTGGTCCTTCAACTAATGGTGACTTAATTTTTTGGGCTAATAGAATGGAGCCCATAGCTATTTAATATTAAGAAGAACATAAAATGTTTAAGTTACTGATGCTTAAGATTTCAGACCACAGTGATTCTCAGAATACAAATAAATTTTGGCATCTATTTTTGGAATCAGTGTTTTCTAAAGAATTAATTGTCCTTTGAATAATTTAGTTGGCAGGCAGCAAATTACATATAGGTTCAAGCCTAAAATGTAACGAACATACAATTAATTTCTCCACAAATATCTATCTCTAAATGAAGTTATCTGTTTGATAGAGATATGAGTTGTAGGAAAGTTACAGGGATATTATGAGGCCCATGAAAATTTTGTCATGAAAGAAAACAATTTTTAATTTCGTAGTTTCTATCAATTTAGAAAGCCTATGAATATTTACTATTAATTCACTATATTAAAAACTAGATAAAAGAAGGTACACACAAGAGAAAAGCATCACATAACAAAACGCTTACTAGAATAGTATCAAAATCTATTAAAATTTTGAGATTACATATACACATTTGAAATCAATGATACTTTCACATTTCTAGGGAGAATCTTAAAAATTTATTTGTCATTATAAAATATATGTCAAAATATTGGGAAACTGTCGGGCTATGGTCAAGGACTTTGTTCTTACAGCAAAACAATTTATAAAACCTTGATGTAAGTACCATTAGTGATATAGTAAGTTTTTATGTATATTCGTGGTCAGAATGTTCTAATGTGTTTCATATAAATGTGCTTTATGAAGGTCAGAAAATTCCACCTTTGGCCTTGCTATTAATCCTTAAAGCATGTGATCTCCACAGTTGTTTTAACTCTTGTCTATCTCTTAGAAACTTCCAGTAATTCAGCCCAGATCAGTATGCACTCAAAGACTGCCTTGTCTGTTTAAAGCAAATGTAGTACATTCTAGTAGTGGAAGGATAGCAATGAAGAAATAACTTCCAAATAACAAAGCAAATACTTTAAAACATGCCTAGATCATCAACCTAGTATATTATTTCAACAAATGCTCCACAGTGGCAAAATTATAATAATAATAAATAAGTAGAGAGATTGAAATCTTGACATATGAAAAAGGAATAGTTATGAAAAATATAGGTCAATTCAAAGGATAACATTGCACAAAGCTCTCCACCAAAAATTCTAGTGAGATTTGTTATTCCAATTCTAGTACTGGTCATTCCTTTTGTATTTTTCTCTTCACTACCACCTCTGGACTTGTATATTTCTCTTAGCCCTTCTCCACCATGGTGCTGCAAGAGAATTTAGCTCTAATATCCTGACATTCATTGTATAACATAAATTAACTTCCTTCTTATGCATCCCAAGTTAAACTTGGTAAATAGTATGTAAGGGAAAATTGAGAAAAGAGTGACTCAAATAATTTTCTGTAGGGCTTTACCCTTTAGCTCAACCCTAGTGGAGAATGATTGTGACACCCATACATTTAATTATTATATTTAAATATCATTACTTAAAACTTGAGTCTTCGATGAAACTTTATGTTTTACCAGTATACTAATTTTTCTTATCTTTTCTTTTTTTTTTTGACATGGACTCTCACTCTGTCACCCGGGCTGCAGTGCAGTGGCGCGATCTCGGCTTACTGCAACCTCTGCCTCCAGGGTTCAAGCAATTCTTCTGCCTCAGCCTCCCGAGTAGTTGGGACTACAGGTGCGCACCATCACGCCCATCTAATTTTTGTATTTTTAGTAGAGACGGAGTTTCACCATATTGGTCAGGCTGGTCTCGACTCCTGACCTCGTGATCTGCCTGCCTCAGCCTCCCAAAGTGCTGGGATTACAGGTGTGAGCCAGTACACCCAGCCCCACTATACTAATTTTTACAATATTGCTATGCATGGATTTTTTATTAAATATCAAAAGTATAGGTCAAAATAAATATGATGGATAATATACATGACATTCTGCTTTATTGTTAATGAAGAGGTTGTGAAAAAAATGTAAGTTAAAAATTTAGAGACCATCTGACCTAGTCGTGCACTGCATTCGAATGCCTAATATAAATAGCACTTGATATCAAGTTTCACAATAAATAATGTAAAAATTTTATTAATGTCTCTATTTCTCAATTATGCCTAGATGTTAACATGTTAGTACCTAGATTATTGTTTTCTCTCTGACATTCCATAGCTCAAATAATCTAATTTGTAGAAATATACTCCTTCTCTCTAAGGGATTTAGCAGAGCTATTTTTATGCTGAAAGGGAAATGTTTTATGTAAGCATTTTTACTTTTTTGTGAGTAGTCTTTTTGGTGGGAAGAAGGTACCCCTCCTTAACTTAATCTCCCTCCACGCATTTATTCCTGTTCAATTATTTAAATACCCAATTTTGTTTCCTTTCCTTGTTGACAGCTGATTAATTGTGCCCCTTTTATGTTTTCCAAAGAAATACCCTTATTCACAACACTGATTATTTGATGGCTTTGTCAAAAAAAGATAAGCAAATTATCCTATCTATATTTATAAAGTTTGAAAATATTAAGTTAAAATAAAAAATAGGTGGGAAGATTCTTATATCCACAATTTAACACTTACAATTTGAAAATACGTATTTGCATCTCCAAGAATAAATTTCTAATATGCTGACTAAAATATTTTAATTTTTTCATGGAATTATCAAATAAGGCATGAAAATACACATTTTTGCCTGTGAAAAATGGGTTTGATTGACATTAACAAAATATAAGAAACTTTTTTAGCTATGTAGAACCTGAGGTTTCTTGGTATATCTTGAAACAACTAGTAGTACATTGACATATAAAATATATTTCTGTTTCCTTATTGGTCTGTAAACTGTTTTTTTAATTCAAAAGAAGACAGAATAATCCTTTCTATATTGTTATTGTTCTATCATGCTAAGTAAAATGACAGTGACCCTGAAGGTATTGAAAAAGTCAAATAGCAGACCCTTTAGGAACTGAGAGATAACAATTGGGACTTTTTTTTTTAATGTACTGGTAACTAAATTGTAACTTACCTGTTGTGTAAGAGAAGTGCAGCAGGTCTTCATTCTTATCTCTTTTTTGTTGAATGAATAGGTTTAATTTGTACTTAATATTGTGGATTTTAAAAACATTTATATGCTTTTTTTTTACATGATGTAGAGATAGACTTCATTGTGTGATTAAAATCTAGTTCTAAAATCTATTGAATCGGGAAAAACAAGGAATATATAATCATACATTACCTTTTTCAATATGCATCCTTTTTGACTCATGTCCCATGTCATGACCGGCCAAATCTCCCTCTTTGGGCCCAGGAAGTACATTTGGTGATAAGCCCATCAGCATCTGGTTCATGGACAACCCATTCTGATGGACCGCTATTATGGCCCAAAAGAAAACAAACAAAACAAAACACAAAAACACCATAACACACAAGGTTCCAATAAGTCAATTAAACTCTCTTGGACTCAACAGTAACTATAATATTAATATAATGGTCTACCTTTAAATTTATAATCTATCCCTAAAAACACTGTGATAACTGATAAACATGATAATTTGTCAGAATATGCAGAAAATATTGAAAATGACATCACCTCACTTTATTTTTATTTTGCATAAAACAAGATTTTTATCTGGAAAATGTAAATTTTTAAAATATAAGAATAATATAGTAGAAATTGCTATTTGGCAAACACCATTAATAATAATTGTTTCAGGATCAAGGGATAATTCTAAAACTAGTGAATGGAAGTTTGCTAAGAACAGAATATTTGCATAGTCTTAAGATATTTTTCTCACCAGGCACTCACTATCTACAAAGGTAAACATCAACAACAAGTAATATTGCAATAGAGAAACCTAGTAGTCACCACCTTAAGAAAGTGATAAACTTATTGCTGGTACTGTAGAAATGTGTGTTTCCTGAAATGATTCACTAAGAAGGACACACTATCACAGCTGTGTGATTCCCACCAAACATCCATAACCTAAGACTAATCAAAAGGAAACATAAAAAAATCCAAACTGAGGGACATTCTACAAAATAAATGGCCTGTACTAAAAAAAAAAAAAAAAAAAGTTACTGAAAGACAAAATGGACTAAGGAACTGTTCCAGATTAAAGAATACTAAGAGAATATGACAACTAATTGTAGTGTGTGATCATAGATTGGCTTTTGCAGCTAGAAAAAAAAAAAAATCTTGCTTTAAAAAATATTGGTGGGAAAACCAGTGCAATTTAAATAAAAACTGTAGTTCAAATTTTAGTACTATAATAATGTTATTTTCCTGATTTTGATCATTTTTCTCTTATGTAAAATAATGCTCTTGTTTCTAGAAGATAAACGATGATGAATTTGAGATAAAGTTGTATTAAATCTATGACAGAAGCACTAGGTGACATTATGCCTATATTGAGATATCACTTTCAGAGAACTTGATTGGTTGACTGATGAGGTAAATCAGGATGACAAACACATAAGAATGATTTGCATTATATTTGAAAATTTTCTGTTAGTCTAAAATTACTTTAAAGTAATATGTTACATATATGTACATATATATGTATGTGTGTGGATGTGGATGTATTTCCATTTCAACAATTATGGTATCCCAGGCATACAAAAATGTCTCCTTTGTTTCTATCAAAAATTGAAAAAAGAATATTACCATTACTAAAATAACATGAATGTATAACAAAACTCATTCAAATCTTCCCCCATCTGTCCATCATTTTCATTTTGTTCCAATTTTTTTTTCTCTAGGACAGCACCTTTCCAATGACAATATCTTATAATGAAACCAATATTTATCATTAAATTTCTGATTCTAGTGTCAACATACCATAAAAATATACAGTAAATATTTCATTTGAAAACTGTTTTAAAATTGTATATAAAGTTACAAAATTAAGGAAATACGTTTCCGGCAGGCCAAAGCAAGTAT
The DNA here is from genome assembly GCF_000001405.40 of Homo sapiens. NCBI lineage: Eukaryota > Metazoa > Chordata > Mammalia > Primates > Hominidae > Homo > Homo sapiens. The sequence continues at coordinate 71,558,728 of NC_000013.11, forward strand.
ATATATTTAGTATTATGTTGAACTATATAATTGCCAATAATTGACTATCTTTTATTTATAATTATTTACACAGCATTCAACTTAATCTTTAAATTATCCACTTCAATAGCTCCCAGATCAACAATTTTCACTTTATGCATACATTCCTTTATAACCTATAAAGTGACTTTCTAGAAAATGCTTTCCTATTATGAAAATATTCTCGACAACCAAATAACTTAAATAAACTTTGTACAATTAGATGAAGTGTATGCTATAAACATAATTGCATAAAATAATAGCTAAATTCTGGGAATAAGCAATATATATAGGTTTTATCAAACAAGTTATTCTCTTTTAATATAGTCATTTATCAAAAGAACAATCTGAGATTATTGTACAGACACAAAAATCACTTGTTAATTGGATGGCATTTTAACTTTATTCTTAATTTTCTTGGCCATAACTACCAAGATTAAATATTGTGAAAATATTATAAAATAACACACAGCCCTACTTTCCAAATTTTAAAAATAACAATATATGGCAATACTATGCATTATTGATTGTTACTAATTCAAATTCTCAAACTTAGCTAATTTCAAATTATTTAATCCATTGACCACCTGAATGACTTAGAAATGTATGCTTTTTAAGTTTAGTATTTTGAATTTAACTGATTTCTCTTTGTGGATATCTCCATTAACACAAGGATAAAATTTAAAAGTCAGTGAATTACAAAAATGGCAGAGTAGGATTTGAGGAATGATGTTGAATAATCCATAAACAGTGTACCAAGACACTAGATATTTGAGAATTGGCTGTGTTTACTTCAGAAACCAATCTAAACGGTTACTTATTTTCTCTGTTTCATAGCTCAAATCTTTATATGTGGCATCAAAGAGAGGAAATTTATATCAGGACCTGTTAATGTAGTATCATACCTCATGATATTGCAAACTGGGAAACATAATTTTGAGAGATGGCTATTGCTACAGAGTTTCAGAACATGATCCATCTGAGATCTATTTGGAATGAGGGCATGTTGATTAGAAAATCCAGCTGAACCCTAATAAAGTTTAAAATGGTGACAAGTAGAAGTATGAGACCTACGGATTCTGTCAGAAGAGCTCTCAGTCCGAGCAGGGGAGCTGGACACGCTGCTGCTGCGATGTGATGATGGGTGACTGCCAGGCCTTCTCCCCTCCTCCAGAGAGGGGGCAGGTGAGGGGCTATCAGGAACACGCTCCTGCACCAGCAAGAGAGGGAAGGAGGGTAGAAAAGATGTTAAATACAACGGATCTTTACTTAATGAATGTTGTTTTTTCTCAATACAATAAGAAATGTAAAGAGAATAAACACTTTACTTCATCAGCATTTAACTGTACTAAAAGATATGTTTATCTTGAGCAAGCCAAATAAAGTAGAAAAAGATGGTCTATGAAACTATGGTTCTACAGGTAAGCGTGACTGCAGTAATGGCGAATGTCAATCCACTCTGGAGAAAAAGTAAGCCCTAGGAAGACGCCCAAAAATAAACAAATAAGAACCCATTAGACAACAAAGATCTCAGAGAATAAAGAAGGATTATTTATCATTTTGAAGAAATCTTTAAATATATTCCCTTATTTCTGCAAGTATCTAAAGATCATGTAATAAACACATTATCAACATGACTGACCATAATAATAATACCAGAGGAGTTTTTAACAGGTATTCCATCCTAGTACTGCTCTGGACATACTCAGTCACATTTTCAGGCATCATGGAAATGGATTATTATTTAATATTGGAATAATTTTCTTTGGTTTAAATAATTCTCAGAGTACCTACCACACCTAGCTTCAATTCAACCACACAACTGTATTAAGGGCACATTTATGAAATATATATCAATCATGTCCCAGGGAAATTTGGTACTGTGCTTCCTGATACTCTATTTTATGTCAACAGTCTTGTCTCTCTCCACACCTCCCTCTCTAAGCTCTGTACATTCTCCATTAGACAAATCTGCAAGTAGATTCTATAAATGTCTCCAATTAGCTATTATAAATGGAATTACAGATTAAGAAAGAAGGTACCCATTGGTGAACATTTTCTACTTTGAGCAGCAAAATATTTATACCCTCAGTTATTAACAGACACAGGCCTTGATGAACTGTCTTTGTAATAATAAATAGTTAAAAGTGTGGAAGAAAACTATATAAAGTATGTAGATGTATAATGTACTTATAAATAATTAGTACATTATTCCTTATTAGAGAGAAAATATGCAATTACAAAATAGAGAAAAAAAATCTAAAATGTAATTGGCCTGTAGGAGGCTAATGTTTCCAAAATGTCAATGTTAACTTAATACGGAAAACAAATAGGAGGTTCCAGGTTTTGTACTGCCAGTGAGAATGATGATCGTGCTCATCTTTGGTCAAAGTGATTCCATTAGCACCATGATGGTTTGAAATCCTGCTGCACATCAGAATCACCTGGCATGTTCTTAAATGCGCTTATGCTTGAGTTTCACTCCCAGAGATTCTGGTTTACTGAGTATTATGGCTTAATTGTGTTCCCCAAAAAGATCTGTTGAAGCCCTAACCTTTGGTCCCTATCAATATGAATGTACTTGAAAACTGAGTCTTTGCAGACATAATTAGTTAAGATGAGAACATACTGGATTAGGGTGGCTTTTAATCCCACGTGAGTCGTGTCCTTACAAGTAGATGTGAAGATAGGAGGGAAGAATGTCATGTGACCATAGAGGAAGAGATTAAACTTGTGCAGCTTCAAGCCAGGGAATGGCAAGGATTGCCAGCTGCTACCAGAAGCTATAGAAAGCGAAGGATTCTACCTAGTATCTCAAAGGGAGCATGGTCCTCATGAACTCCTGATTTTGAACTTCTAGACTCCAATAATGAGAGACAATAAATTTCTGTGGTTTTAAGGTACCCAGTTTCTGGTTCTTTGTTACAGTGGCCCTAGAAATCTAATACACTAGGTCTAAAATGGGACCCAGACTTCGGTATCTTTTTAAAAGCTCTCCCTATGATTTTAATATGGAACCAAGATTGAGCTGTACTTTTGTCACACTCTTTTAATTTTTCAATGATGTACATTGCCAATAAACATCTTCAACAGATATGCTGAGACTTCATTTTGAAGACCCTGACAAATAAAATGAAAATAACCAGAAAAAATAGCCAAGCCCTTTTCCCAAATCCATGTCATAAAATGGTTTCCTAACATATATTCCATGGAATTAAAAAAAAAAAGCGCTATAAGAAGCTTCATGACAAAACAATATTGTAAAGGAAAAGAAAAAAGAGGTCAATTAAATTTTAATCTCGAAAGTTGCAATGCGTATTACAATCTTGTCGTAATGATAACTTGTTGAACTTTAAGAGTTTTTGTACAGAGCTAATATGTGCTGATAGGCTTCTGTAAAAGACAATAAACTCCCACAGAAGGCAGACGTATTGTTAGTATTATACTAAAAAGCATTAGCCCTTTACCTTAATTGATCGGGGTTAACAATTAAGTGTTTTATTTTATGCAAATAGCAAAACTGATATGTAGGTAAATGTAAGCAACACACAATATATTTTCCATCTCAAGTTATGTGGGGTTTCCACTTAAAATACTGCAAATATGCAAATAAGTGGGAGGGAGAGAGAAAGAGAAAGAGACAGAGAGAAGAGATGGGAAGAGGAGAGAGAAAACAAGGGGGGACAAAGACAAACATACATCCCAGATATTAAAATTTGAAACTAACTTGTTCAGAGACGTTTATAACATGTATGCATTTGTTACACGCTAGGATACTACAGAAAGATGGCATCCAACTTTACAGTTTGCAGATTAAGATATTTTGAAATCTTTATCACAGGTAACATGGAAAACGAATATATTATCAGTTACTTTTCCAAGCTAACAAAATGAAGCATGTATGCTTCTAAAACGTCTAAGGCAAACAAACGACCAACAGTTTTAAAAAACAAACATGTATATGACTTAAAAGAGCAGAAACTTCACATCTGGATGCCAAAACTTACTTCCTGTCTTCTAATTATAATTACCCTAAACTATAAAGAAGTTTCAAATGGCAATATTCTCATATCAAATCATTGTAATCACAAATCAAAAGACAATCTTGGCTTGTGTTAGCCACACCATAATTCAAAAGTTTAGTTGTGTATGGTTTTGGAGTATTTGCGCACTTATCATAGAGGATGCATTTATAAGGCTATATGTAGAACTCCTTTATAATTTGTATAAATATATCAAGAAACAATACTGCAGCTAACTGCATACATGTCCAGAGATATACTCTTAAAGTCTAATCTTGATTTCTTGAAATTCTAATAGAAGCATAGTTTGTCTAAGCTTTAGAGCTAATTCCTAATACATCTAACTGTTAGCACTTGGATTACACAGAAATACATGGTGTGTATTTAAGAAAATGCATTGATATATTTTTGTATAAAGAGAATTTTCTAAATTAACCATTCTATTTTATTCCAAAGTTCACTCACATCAATGCTTATCTATCAATAAATTTTAACATTTTTCTTAATCATTATGTTAATGCATGTTTGGCTGAACAGACATAAAGTACAATCTTGAAATAAATCAGTCTCTCTAAAATGATTTTGCAAGTCTGATTTTCCTGTCATAATAGATTTCTTGGTAGTGCTAATGGAAAGCATGAGAATATAATTTTTCTGAGATATTTAACTCATAAAATGCTTAAATATTTAATGCATAAATCTCTGGAAACAATTATTATGCCATTAAAATAATTCCTTGTTTATTTTAACATTTCCCATATAAGTAGAAAAATGCTTTATTAGTCAATGTACTTAAATGTCAAAGTTGTCTGTGATCATCCCTTTAATTCATGAATTGTTCAGTTACTCATTTACACATCCAAAATACTCTTAAAAAGGCATATTATACTAAGTAAAAATAAATTAGATTGAAATCTTTATGTAAAATGCATTTTAAAAGCATAATAAAGCTCAGTAAATATGTATAAGTAAAATAATAGTATTTAATTTACCTTTAACTTAGTTTTTGCTTTAATTGTAGTTTTGTGTTCAAGAACAAAGGATACAAAAACAACAGTTAATACTGTTATTTGAAGAAAATATTTTAATTTATGCAAGTGTTTATGATTTAAAAGCTTAACTATTCAATTGAAACTTTCTATAAATTGAGACACAACATATTCAGTCATTTTACTTAATGTATAATTTCAATCTTTGGAACCTAATGTATTGTTCTTTGAAGAATTTCATTAAAGTAAAATCCATTGAGCAAGTAAGATTTGAATACATTGTTGCACAATAAATTAATTTATTTCAACAGCTTAATTCTTTTATCATATTTATATGCTTGCCTTTCCAGAGTATTCTATAAGATGGAGAATAATGGAGACAATAAAGAATTGCTTAGGAGGGAATCTCATAATTATTACTGAAACAAAATAGATAATGAGTTTTATTCAGACATAATAAGAAAGAAGCAGTTCAATGTCTATAAGAAAACTATGTAAACTGGATTTATCATTTCATTTGTGTAATACCCTTTAACGTCCAATAAGGGGCTGAAGCAGGACAGAGAGAACGAATATTTAATTTAATACTTCAACACACTCCTTTATAGTCCTGAATCAACTTTACCAATCAATAAAACACAATCTTTTGCAATGTTCCATCTTTATAAAACTCGCCACAATAATAAATGAAAATTTAAGAGGAGCACTCTTTCACTGAAAAAAAAAAAAAAGGTCATACTAATAAACTAATAGTAACCGGAGGACAAAAAAGGAAAAGCTGCATTTTTGCCTCTGGGAAGAACAAGAAGTATTTGGTGTGTAGGATAATTCAGAATCAAAAATAGAATTCAAAAACAACATACTCAAATTCTAAAATAAACAGTGTAAAATGTTCAGTACTACACACATGTGATTAAACATTTTAAAAATTTCATTATCTCAGTTCTCCTCTCTGCACCTTAAAAATGTATTATATTTTATCAAATTAAAATATTTTCTTAGGGTAAGTATAATCACAACTCATTTCTCTAAAGGATTATTTCATTTAGTTTTTATTTATTTTGCTCTCCTTTTAATTCTCTTCATTTTTTGTTTTTCAATAGAGATTCTCTAACTGAACAGGATATAGAAGTGGGAAAACAATTTGTAATATTAAATTTTTGTTGTTGTTGTTTGTTTTTTTGAGTCAGGGTCTTGCTCTGTCACCCAGGCTAGAGTGCAGTGGCACAATCTCGGCTCACTGCAACCTCCACCTCCCTGGTTCAAGCAATTCTCCTACCTCAGCCTCTGAGTAGCTGGGATTACAGGCGTCTGCCACCAAACTTGATTAATTTTTTGTATTGTTAGCTGAGACGGGGTTTCAGCATGTCGGTCAGGCTGGTCTAAGTGATCCACCAGCCTAGGCCTCCCAAAGTGCTGGGATTACAGCTGTGAGCCACCGTGCCCAGCCTAAATGTTATCTTCATATAACTTTTAATTTATAAAATTGATGAAGTTGACCAGCACTTTATATAACCAAAACTTCTCAGCTTTAAGAAAACTCAGGCTCAAATACATTAGTTCAATGAGTATTTACTGAACACTTACTATGTACCAGGCAGGATCTAGGTTCTGGTTACATAAAATTAAACAAAACTGACAAAAATTATTGTCCCCATGGAGCATATATCACACCTGGTAAATGTTGTTAGTGAAATGCAACATCATTGACACTAAGAGTGGTGTTCAAATTCCTTTGCTTTGGAAAAATGTGCAAAGAAGACAAATAGCAGAATTGGAATCCTGTATTCAGAAAAATGCTTAAAAGTACTTTTAAGAGACAGTCAATGATGTTAGCATGCTTACACCTAGTTGAGGACCAGGCAGCCCAAATCAAGATTCCATAGCTGAGGAAGCCCCAAATAATATTTACATAGCTTTAAAAAAAAACTTTGATTATGGAACTCCATAAATACTCAAGTTTTCTAAACATGAAACTGGCAAGACCCCGTGAAACAACTTAATATAATCTGAAACAACTTAACTTTATTCTCCTGTTGTCTTTTTGAACTTACTCATTGGTGGTAGGGGACTATATTTTTCCCAAGTGTGTATGAAAATTCACATAGCCTTGTAACTTTTTAGGTTGCTATTTGATAATATAAATTTGCTTTAAGCAGCAAAATAAAATCTTGACTCAGGAATTATAATTCAGCACCATCTGACAATGAATACTGGCGTCTTAATTAAAAGGTAGGACTTCTTTCTTTACTACAGCCAAGGGATATAGAGATGAAGGAAGAACAGCAAGGAAAAAAAGGTAAGTGCTGATTTGACCAGCATTGCCTTTAACTGGCATCAATCTCTCCTGCATGGTAAATGTTTAAAGTCAATGTTTAACTTAGTAAGGAACAAATGTATGTTCTTACAGGCCACCACCACCACTATGAGCCTCTCATCTGCAGTTCCCTTGATGAGTCTAATTCATCCCAATGTTCCTTTGACCCTTGAGTTTCCTGCATAGTTACCTCTGGAGGCTTGGTACAAGTTGATGTGGGGGTACGACTACTTCATAGATGGTGTTGCAAGCTTCTATAATGAGCATAATGTCTGCTTGGTTGCCTTTTATGATGCCAGCCACCACTGATGATCATGGTCGCAATTCATCACTTCATTAGGGCTTGTAATTTCCTACACACTTATTTTCTAGAAGGTTTCTATGATCACAAAGTTACCTCATGAATCATTTGGTTATTCTTAGGATCAGTTTTTATGGAAAAGGCAGGAAAAATGCTTGATCCCTTCCATGTATTTATCTTTAAGCCTTTATTGTCCTTTAAAAACATCAGTTCCCCCCAAATTCTCCAAATGTGAACAATGAGTTTCTTTTTTAGTATTATTATAAAATCAAGCATTTAAACATGTGATGTATTTCAAGGCCTAGATGTTTCATTAGTGGTGGTTGTGTTGTAATACTTTCTTTTTTAGGTTAACATCTTTTTTCATATTTAATATCAATATTCAAATAAACCTAAAGAGAACATACTTATTATTTTTTAAAACCAAGTAAAATTAAATAAATTTTTGTGAAAAAAATTTATGTCTAAAAGCTCTGCATACACTTGGAGATTTTTATGTTTGTACAAAGAATAAACTATTCTGTAACTAAAAACCAACATGAAGTATATGATGTCACATTGCTCTAAGATTCACTCTACTTTGTGAATTAGGTCACTCTGGTTGTAGTTTTTATAATCTTTTCACATTTTAAACTTCATGCAAGTAACATCCTGTTTCCTAATACAGTATTTTAAGAACTTGCTTTAAAGTATGAGTACAATTATAAACAGCGTTTTTCAATGTTTAATTCTTTAAATGAGAATGTCACAAAGTCTCTCTCTCACACACACACATGCACAGACACACACAGAGACACATAACAGATCAGCAAAGAAAATTAACGAATTTAAGTCATATTCCCTATTTTCAGAAAACTGTAATGTGTCATAAGAAGAAAGATGTGTATCCAACAATGTAGGGTAATTTGAATGTCATCATATTTCTCAAAAACAGTTCTATGTTATCTCTGAAAAAAATCTTAAAATGCATTTAAAAATCTGCTTTGCATACTATGCACTACAAACCCAAAAGTCCTGATTAAAATAAAGCTGCGTATAAAATTTTTATTAGGTAAAATGAGCAGAACAAAAAAAAATAGAAAGTCAGAGAGACAGAGGTCTCACCATAGAAGTATGACTATATTTCACAGGCTTGACAGGGATTCCCTGCAAAATTCTAGAACTTACTTTTAAACAAATGATTTTGGATACTTGGAGAGAAAACAAAATAGTAATGAGAAGAAAATAATGTTGGTATATAAAGACTTCCAAAGATTAAATAAATAGTAATTTAATCTTTATGACAACCTAATGGGGTAGTGCTGTTATTACATAAAATACAAATATATTAAATAATTTGTCTATGGTCACACTGGTTGGAGGTGATAAAGTCGAAATGCAAATCCAAGTAGTCTTTTTTCAGAACACATGCCTTAAATCACTAAAATATGCTGCGTTTCTTCCTTTCACTATTACTTCTATTTCAGCAAGTACGCCCTTTTCAAAATCTTTATAACATTGTGAATTTATTAAATAAAAACTGAGAAAAATATTGATTCATTCAAGAGAATTTTGGGTTACATAATGAATGATACCTAAGAGAATCAATTAATAGAACATTTCAACTTATTAGGAATTCTCCAATGACAAGAGAAATTGATCTCTTGATTTATATTGTTTATTTTACTCAGTCGTTTAACGTAATAAAGGAATACATCCTTTTAAAATTTGGAAATGATACAAAGGTGGCATAAATAGCTAATGTGATAGTCTGGGATGTTAATACTCCAAAGTATCTGAAGACCCTAAATCAATGGAATGGAAACTAAAAATCTTAATGTGGATAAATAAAAATTCCTAACACAAATAAAAGATGAAGAAAAACTGGCTTAACAGAATTTTATGTCAGAAAGGCATGAAATGTACTGAGTCAGACATTCAACTACCAAACAAAATCTTTGGAACTATGACTACATTTATAGATTATTGTCCAAATTGAGGTTGATGTCTAGTGTCTCTTCATTGCACAATTCACTTCTAGAGTATGGTGTGATAGAGGGTGACTTCAATAAAAAGAAGGCAACCAAAAAGATGAAGAATAGTCAGAACAAATTAGAATAATTGGCCTAGAAAACAGAAACACTATAGGCACTAAAACAGAGGGCTTAAATATTGAAATGGCTAGAACCTAGAAGAATTAGTAGACATTTTTCTTCAAATAAAATATAACAAAGTTAAGGTAGAAGCTATTGAGATGCAAATTTTAATTTGATTAATGAATATACTTCTCACTCTTAAATCTGCTGAAAATAGATTAGGCATCCTACAAAAGCTTAGATATATGAAAATGAATAAGAAGGATGTGGGAATTATTTCTCCATTATGGGGGAAGCTGAATTACATAACATCTCAAGTCTAAGTTGCTTTATGTTCTATGAATGCTAAACAGAAAAAGTATATGGGTATCATTGACACATAAGAAATTAATACAGGTACAGTTTATAATTATTTAATATATCCCCACAGATATTTAGCGAGAGAGAGACAGGAGAGGAAATTGTGCATATATCCACACAACTAGGAATTTCAATTAGACCTATTATTGTCTAAAGAGTATGTCAATTTCCTCCTCAAAATAATCTTGATTATACTCAATACAACCAGCCATAGAAAGTCTAAGTTCAAGGCTTTAGCAGACTCTCTCATGAACGCTTGCATGTAAAGCAAATAACAATGCCATAGTGGGAAAGTCTTCATCTATCTAGTTTTCTTTTCCTCAGTGCATTTAATTCTTTCAACCCTAAATTCTCAATTATTTTAATTTTTTTTTCTACTTGGTTCTATTGTGTTTGAGAGTTTAGTTTGAGCTGCTTCAGTTTTCCATAGTCTGAGATTCATGTGGGTTTGGGATAATCAGAGGTCTAACACAGGTATCGACAAACTTTTTTGGTAAAAGGCCAAACAGCAAGTATTTTAGTCCACTCTGTCTTTGCATGTGAAAATAGCCATAGACATTACATAAATTTAGATATGGCTCTGTCCCCAGAAAAAACTTTATTTACCAACACTACATTTTGAATTTCATATAATTCTCATGTGTCATGAAATATTTTTCTTTTTATTTTTTTCCAACCACTTAAAAATGCAAAACCATTCTTAACTCACAGGCCATGAAAACCAGCAGCAGAATAGATTTCACCCAACGTTGGCAGCTTGGGGATTCAGACCCTGCTCCATTTCATGTACTGGCATTGATATGTTAATGAAAAAACTTTTGGAGCTCCTTTACTTCATAGAAACAGCTAAACAAAGAATATTTTTAAAATATATAACTCTGAAAGCTGTATTTTTGCTTCTCTTTTGTCCTACAAATTGTTATTGCCATTTGCATTTAGGTTGAGTTTTAATTTTAAGTCTTGTCATTACTCTTAAAAAATGTAAATGGTATATTCCAGCATTTAGAACATCTCTCAAAGTTCTATTTTCTGTTTAAAGACTATTTCTCCAGTTGCTTTATAATTCCGTCATACAGGCTCAATCTTCTATGACATTTAACACGTCACTTGCAACAGACTTTCACACTTATTAATAGAATCTTCCCAGACAAACCAATGTGTAGTCCATATTCTAGTTATCCACGTGTCCAATACTGTTAAAGGTGACATAGGAGTCAGCTGTTTTCTTTGAGGAAAATAAAAACTTCCCCAAAACTAAACTTAATTAACATCTATTAGGTGAGTTTATAAACTCTTCTTGTTCTATACAGTCAACCAATATATACATTTAGACAGGTTGATTTGTTAACTTCTCCTCTCTAATACTTAGAACTTCTTGGAGGACCTATTCCTCACCCTTATTCTCTGAGGACACTCACTTGATTTTTATCAGGTTATGTGGATGTCTTTAAGCATCTATAACTGCTTAGAATCGTCTCATGCCTTTCTTAAAATGTGTTTACTTTCAATAATCTTTACCTGTCAGTGTCAAATTCGAAGCTATACAAATGGCCTGTCTCACAAAATAATAAGGGCACCATGATAAAAAATGGGCCTTTCAGCCCTTCCACAACAGCCAATTGAACTTCACTTTGATGTTGGCAATAAAAACTATCAGATTTTACTTTTTGTAATCATTCTCAATTAGAGCCATTGTTCCCTATTTGGCTGCTACTATTACCATTTACATCAACACTTTCAAAATCCACAACTCCCTTTAATCTGCATGTAACCAAGTTTCTGAAAATATTTGCAACAGGAGAAGAAGTGAGATATCTCTATGACTTAGTAGGTGTTGGCACATATCTTAAAACATAAAACGACCTCACTTTCTTCTCTTTTTGTGTATTTTCTTCCTTTCTCCATATATCCCCCTCCTTTCCATTCCTAAACTTAATCTAGGAAAACACAGGAATGTTTCTGACTTCCCAATCATTGAGTCCTGAATTATTTTCTATAGACTTCTTCCAGAGGAAACTCAACTTCTTCCTCCTACTTATCTAAACTCTGACAACCAAGTATGTATTAAAAGGAGATCCCCTAAGTATTCTAATTAACAAGTAGCACAACTATTTTTTAAAATATGTGTATATTGCAAAATAAAATAAATCAAGTATCCTGATATAAATAAAGGCTTTTTGATGCAGGAATATGTAAGCCATCCCTCATGCAAATATTAGCTACAGGCCATAATTTAGACACCCATTATGACTTTAAACTGCTAAAAGCTGCTCTTCTGTAATATGTTTGCCTTATTTATTAATGTAAATCTTACCTAAATGAGAGATTTTAGTTACCAGTTTTAAAAGTAAAAATTACATAATTAATATTATGAGATGATTCTTTATAGTAATCACGACCAGATTTTTTTAATGAGAATAATCACATCGTATACATTAATACTTAGTACCTTGTAATATTTGCTTAAAGTAGCCATTGACTACAATGATGGGAAGACTTAAATGGGTTTTTCCCTCCGCCAAACTCCTCTTCTAGATAACTTTAATGAGTGAGGCAATCAGAGTGCTGAATTCTCAATAATACCTATTACCTAACATCATCATAAATTTAACAATACGGTGATATCTTGCTTATTGAATAATCTGGTAACAATATCCCTCTTAGAGAAGAGTTTTCAAAGGTCTTTTTATCAGTTCCTTGGCTGATAACAATGTGGCACTCACTGGCGCTCTCTGAGGTGGTGATCTTTGAGTAGTTGATCCAGGTCTTCTGTGAGACTTTTGGTTATTTTTTCCTCTGGTATTGATACTACAGAAAATGACCAAAGCATCTGGGATACATCTTTGTTTTTAGAGCCATTAATATAAGAACAATTCCTATTTGTATGTTACTCCACATTGTATGTAAGTAGTAACAGGGCCTTTTTTTTTTTTTTTTTTTCTTTGAGACGGAGTCTCACTGTGTCACCCAGGCTGGAGTGCAGTGGCACGATCTCAGCTCAATGCAAGCTCCGCCTCCTGGGTTCACGCCATTCTCCTGCCTCAGGCTTCCGAGTAGCTGGGACTACAGGCGCCCGCCACCACGCCTGGCTAATTTTTTGTATTTTTGATAGATACGGGGTTTCACCATGTTAGCCAGGATGGTCTCGATCTTCTGACCTTGTGATCTGAACAGGGCCGTTTATATAAGATGTGCTCCAGAGGATACCCTAAATTTAAGTGTATTGTATTCAGAAAAATGGGATAATTGTAATGTCAAATAATGATCATGCAGCATAAAATATCTTGTACTTAGTTTAAAAATTAATAATCTATTCTTAATTTTTTGTTATTTCTTACTCCTTAGCCAGACAACGCAGTTAAAATATTTTGATTTAAGTACACATTTTAAAATAATATGAAAGTAAAACATATTTACATATATAACACATACGATGCACAAACATACACACACAGATACACAGGGATAGAGGAGACGGAATTGTGTATATATGCACATATGAAGTTTATATAACAATAATGTTACCTTTAATTTAGTGTATTTTTGAATTTATGGAAACTTCCAATTTTATTACTTCATTTAGTTTTTACAACATAATCCACACTGGATTATGCCTTTATTAGATATTTACTAGAATCAGGAAGATTGAATTACATGTCTAAGGTGACAGAGCTAGGAAGTGGCAAAACTTATCCCTTCTGGTCTTCTGATTCTCCACACATAAATGCTCATAACACCACACACGCATACACACAACTACCTATGTAAGAACACACACAATTTGAACTATAACATTTAATGTCCTATGTTTTTCTCTATCTTAATAGATATATAGAGAATTTAAAGCAACCCTAGCCTGCCTAAGTAATGTGCCCCTGGGGCCATTTGCTACAAGTGATTTTTTTTAATAGTCTATTTACTATCACTTAGCTTTTTAGAGTTCAGATGTACTTATGGAATAAGAAAAATGGATTAAGGGATGGTGGCTTAAGATGAACATGCCAAAATAATTGTATAAAAAAAGAATTACCTTAATAACTGATGTCTCAACTCTGGATGGGGGACTCTGAACTTGTGCTGCTGCTGCCATATTTGCAATGGTGCTGAGGTGGTTCATCTGGCTCATTGCCATGGTGACAGATGCTGGAGGTAGGCTGACAGGAATTAGAGGGTGGGGCATCATCATAAAAGGAAGTTCCAGTCCTATAAAAAATGCACATATATCATCATTGCTCTGGAGGACATAAATCATTAAAAATTGAAACAGTCAAAAGTTTTCTAATAATGGTAGTCAAAGAAACAATATTTTTCCTCTTCATATGCAAAAATTTCACTTACTACTCAGGGAAACCAGGCTTACAGCTATCTGGTTTGGTGCCCTGGTTTATCATTTCCTAACTTATCCTGTGTTTAATACAAATGGTCAATTCTTTGCTATATTATTCCTATAATCAGTCTGAATCTTGCTTAAAATACTAGGGTTTTCTTTAACTTATCCCAATTAGCTATGTAAATATAGTATATCTCTTTATTATGTCCTATTTTGCCAACTGATAAATACAATTTAAAAAAAACTATGATTTTTAATACTAAAGAATGCCATCGTACCATTTGGCAGAAGGTGGCTCTGCTGAAGATGGTTGAGAGGATGACTAAGTGGAAGGCTACGTGCTCCAGGCATGCGGGGGTGGGTTATAGAGGCCTGAGGTCCCTGGGATGGGGAAGAGGGCAGTGTTTCCTTATCCCAGGAACCATCACTGCTGCCTGTGGGGAATGAATATAAATTACTTGGATATAATATTATTCCAAATCTTCCAATGACTAACTTAAAATGAGTTTTTTAAAAAATGTATCACATTTGGAGTTGGAAAACTGATTTCTAGGGAAATAAGCCGAGGTAAGTAAATTTCCCCTAAGCTGCACATTCTTTTTGATTTTCTATTTCTTGTATAGGATCTCAAAATTAAAAAAATATATATTCCGGCAACATTTAACCTAGTGGTGGAGTCTAATACTGTTCGGCTATCCAGCTTAATATGAAATGGTCTCTATTATATTAACCAGATAATTAATTACTCCTTGGAACTGAAACACACTAATATTTATAGAATGCAAAGTTATTCTTGCATGAAATGACATCCTAGCCATCACATAAAGTGCCTAACTTCATTACACAGCAAATCCAAAAAATGAAGCCATTAAACGTCCAGCTTGGTTAGACATTGTACAGAGAACACAAAAGATCACTTTATAGAATATAATGCCAAAGCAAAAATTAAATATGCATGCATGTGTGTGTGAATAAATACATCACTTGTTTTCAAATAAAGAGAAACATACATTATGTCTCCATGTCAATGCCACTCAACTGAGGGCTTGCATTTCAATATTGGTAGCAATGCCTTAGATTTAAAAAGATCATGAAATACCTTATTAGAACACTCCTTGGAAGGTGTTTATAAATCATTTCAATTTAGATGTGCTCCCAAATTAAATTAATTTAACATTAATTTATTCCTTAACTGAATCTGTTGAAAATACAAACTATCCACTTAGAGGAAATTTCTGTAATATCCCTATCAGCTCATGACTTTTTTATTTCTTAAAAAAAGAAACCATATTTTCATATAATATGCATAGAAACAACAAAGTTGGTAAAACTCCAATTTAATGCTTTAGCTCTGCTAAAAGCCTCATTGTAAAATCTCTACGACATAGTTTTTAATGAAGAATACTTAGTTACTGCCATGATTTTTTTCCATTTACTTCATGAAGACAGTTAAGGTTCAATATAAATTCAAACTAATTAGCTCAATACTGTCTGGATCTTAGAGTAAAGTGTTCAGAAGTGGGTAATGAAAACTCAATTCAAATTCTTCAGCAATCAAACAAAGCAATTTTATTAAACAATGAAAAGAATCAATTAAAATGGATATCTTTATTATCTTTATTATTTTACAAGAAACCATGACAGCTTTTGGTTTAAAAAAAAGTTTATAGCTTCATACAGAAATGACTTACATAAAAGAAATTTCTCCAGCTTGCTCCTACACTGTGATATAAAAGTTCTTTTCATATTCACAAATTTATACACCTTACTTCTGTTCTCATAACTTTTTTGACACTTATCCCTAGGTACTAGTCAAACACGCAAGCACTATAAATAGATGAATTTTTCAAATGTATGATATCAAGAGATTATGATTATAACACATTTTAAACATCTGCTCTTTACATTGCCTTTATCAAAGTACATGCAATTTTTTTATTATAGGCTTAATTCACAAAATCTGTGGGATTTGATTTGGTCAAATGTTATGATTCAGCATTGATTTTACCTTGTATGTTATCAGTTAAAACTGACTATCGGGATATAGAAATCATGCTTTGGAATAAATATTATTTTAATATAGAAATTGCCCTGGAAATTTAGAAATAATAAGTAATTTTCTCTATATTTTATACTTCATTTAAAATCTTCAACAAATGTAACGATTACATTTTCATAGTAGAGTGCATATTTGAAGATAATTAACTAAAATATGGAGTGGAAAAATATACATTCATTATTTTGGATTCAGTTTGAGCTCCATTTACAGCTATAATCTACTTTTTTCTGTTCACTTAAACTAATTTCCTCTTTTATTGAAGTCCTTACTGCCACGATAAATAAATAAATGGGAAATAGTTATTTCTGCAAATATATTTAAATTTCACTCATATCAGTAGAGATGCACAATAACTCTATTTTTCACATTATTAAGGTACAAAATATTATCTTAAAATTCTGATTAAATCACTCTGAAAACTACAGATAAAACACTACCCATTTTCACATCTGTTTTTGCGTCACAGATATCAGTCCCTTGTGCACAGGTAAATATCAAGCATTCATATGTGAATTTTCTCTAGTAAGTTTCTAATACTATATTAGATTTTCTCACTACATAGAATGCTTCTAGCCATCTCCGCCAATCATCATTTGTTAAATACTCATGATGTTAGCTCATTTGGGTAATAAATAGAGCAAACAATTAAGAAACTAAGTCTGATGAAAAATATACAATATGTAACCAAGTCAGCTGTAAGTGATTTTTGCATTATTTATAACATCCTTTTCCTCTATTAGCATGAATAAATAAGAATTGAAAATAGGCCACTTCAGAACAAGACCTGCCCACAGTTATTAAGTGCATATTTTCACAATTTTATTTTAAGCCAATATATTAGCACGATATAAACCAGTATATATGCACTATGCTTAACACACAAACATATATACACACATAAATACCTTTAAAATTCATATTTACTATTAAGACTGCAAGAAACAGCAGCAGATTCAATATATAAGAAATTTCTAACATTTGGCAGGGGAAGACAGAAACAGAAAAAACTGACTTAACTGCTATTAAGAATATACTAATAACTACATATTTAAATATATGGAATTTATATATAAAGAGTGACTGTGTGTGTTTAGATTTTCTTCTGTGTAAAAGATGGGACAAGCAAGGTTATTTCAAGATTTAGTGTAACTAAAATTCAAATATGTAAGGAGTAGGTGTGGGAGGTCCTCTCCCCGCTTAGTGCCTCCCCATTACAACATTAAAACAAAGCTTCTGAAAAATAAGTTTGATGCAATGTCTTAGTCTTCATGGGCTCAGACTATTTTCCTTGGCTCACCCTCACTTGATATTTTTATTGCATTTTATGATACATCTTTTAAGATGGACCAGGTTTTAAATGCAGAAATATATCCCTAAATTGTGAAAGCCATCTCTACTCTAAGGGCACCAGATTATTGAATAGTCAGAAATGATGGGTTACAAATATAAAATGGTTTTCGTTTTCCTCTAATTACTGCCTTCAAAAAAGCTTTGTCAAGGTTCCCTATTCTGTCCCTTAAGAGCCTTGAGCAGATTTTGAGTATAATAAATCCACTCTAGTTAACTGTCATCTCTGCTTCCCCATCCCCACTAGCATTAGCCATTTCTAGAGTCTAGGTATCTAGAAGACAGAAGCTAGCTCAGCTTTTCAACCATCCTGTCTTCCTCTTCTCCTTCTTCTGGGTAATAAGATAAATGTCTCTTGCTTAAATGGTTCCTGCTTAAATTTCCCCTGCACCACAACTTCTGTGGCTACTCCTTTAGGCCATTGACATCTTCCAAGTGGTAAAGGCCTAAATCTAAACATTTCCATGGTGGTAATGTCTGATCCTTCAAGGGAATCCTTACTGAGGAACTTCCTAACTGCACAAGTCCCTCACAGTAGACTCTCCTCCAGCTTCATGATCGTCTAAGCTCCTTAAACTCCCATTGCCTCTTGATACTAAGGTCCTCCTGCTGGTGTAAGTCCTCTTGTTCTGATGCCCACTTTCTCCAGCCTGCTCCCTTCTCCTCAGTTCTTTACCACCACCTCCAACCCCTGCTCCCAATCAGCAGTTCACACTTAAGCAGAAATCTAGCTACCAAACGAGGTGGAAACATCCGCAATCCTTGAGTAATTCTGTTGGAATTTTCCTCCCTTGACCTTCTCAGTGAGGAAGCATGCCCAAAGAGGAATTACTAAACCACAGCCATACCTGTCAGTTGCTGTCCTTTCACTAGAATGATCTCTTCAAATCCCATTTTATAAATGAGTGTTCATAAATGAGTGTGGTCCATTCTTAGAAAGGAAGAAGGTGGTTGTTCATGGAGTCTGGAGTGATAGTTAAGACAGCAATGCTGATTCAGTTGCTATAATAAGCACAATTGTTTTTTACTTTCTTTAAAATGAGGGGTACCTGACACCTTTTGTTCTTGTTGGAGACCACAGGAAAAATTGTATTTAATATCCTGTTACATAAACATACACAAGAAAATGAATAACAAATATGGCTATATTATAAATCAAATTTTAGTAACTGGTTCTTGTAAATAAACTGAAATAAAGGGAAAGAATAAACAGAAATAAAGGGAAGCACAATTTTTAGGTAGGAAAGGGAATGAAAAATGTTTTGGACAAAGATATTCTTAGTTTCTCTACTAAAAACACAATAACAATTTTGAGTGTGTGTACGCACGGCACCAATTATAGTCTTAGTCCAAATAATTATACATATTCATGTATTTGTTCATTTCATTCCTAAATATATCCAACGAGAAACAGGTTCCCAAAGAGAAGTCCACAGTATTTCTATGCATTTTAGATAGAAGACACATAAAATAAACACAAAACTAAAGTGATCTGTAAAATATAAATGCCTTTTAAATTACTTGCATTAAAATAGTAAAAATATATTTGACTACTGTATTACTATCATTTATACCTAGGTGACATGTAACTATTTGTTAAGATTTTCCCACAGGCTGACCCTGATAAAGGAGGCAAATCGCAAAGGGACTAACGGTCACACCACTGCTTATTGAGTGACACTGATAGATTGTGACGGGAACCTGACATTGTCAAGATTTGTTTACAATGAAAATGACGGCAAGAGCAGGCATTTACTCCATACCATTGGAGACCACTTAGAAAGACGTCAACTCCATCTTAACAACGAAAACAAAACTTCTAAATAAAAGTAAATATTAGTCACAGGTGCTACAGATGTTCAGCTGTTACTTCAGAGGTAGGTGAGAGAATAAACAAGTTATTATCTTTTAGTGGATTAAGTTCACTCTATTAAAAAAATGATATAAAACGTCAGCAGTAATGCTACTATTTTGCATGAGTTGCGGAAACAGTCCTTTCATGAAAGTTATTGTAATATAGTCTTTAGGTATTCTTTTGAATAACTATTTAATCCCAGTTGATCTACTTTAGGATATAAAAACACTGAAATCTCCTGATGCTTTGGTTTGACTTTATCACACTACTAAAATGAGAAAAGAAGAAATCTTCTAGGGATATAATTAATTAGGGACACAGTTTAAAATGTTCCTGTTTTAAGTGTAGTGGTTTAGCAAAGAAAATGCCACAAGTGCCTCCTAACTGGTATTGCAAAATAATGTCCGCAGAGTAGGTCAGCACATTTATCATGTTTGATTTGGAGGTTCTGGGTAAAAAAAGAACTGGTTGTCTTTCATGTAACCAATTCTGCTTGGCTTAATATTCTTACATCAATTTATTTTTTTCTTGAGAGAAAAATAATGTTGTTATAAATTCTAACTGCCCCATTACCTATAAATATATCATTTAGGAAAATATGTTACTTTCCCATAAATAATTAGATATTTTTCTTTAGTTATCTATCACTAACTAAATCTTACCCTGTGTTACTGGAATGTCAGATATAGTTAATTAGGAATGTGAAACTCTTGCCATACCAGGGGACTTTTATCTTACCTATGATGTTTTCTTTTGAATGCAGAGCTGTTTTGATATATTTATTTTGTATGCATTGTTTATAACATAATACTGATGCTATTAGTGTTCTTGGACTCATCAAAACTTTGTTAATTCTAAATTTCTTCACCTACTTAAGATATTGGTATTGCCCTATATACTCCACAATGGTGCTGAAAGTAACAATAAGTGAAGTTGTACAAAGCACACACAAATTAATGGAAACTAGAACTGCTTATTTTTAAATTTTGGCTGAATATTCTTTACTACGGCCAATGATTATTGAACTAAAGAGAACGGGAAACAAACCGTAAAATCAGATCTGATATCCAAGTGACTAATGTAAGATGAAACGATACTTAATGAACAGGCAGACATTACTAAAAACAATGGCTTCTTTATCCTGAGAAACTGGATAATTATGAAAAACAAAAATAGCATTAGGAAGCTGAAAATAGACAATGGTTTCAATTTTAAATAGCTTTCATTTTGGAACTCATAAAATTTATTTAAATGAATTTCTATATATAAATAACAATGCTTCATGTATTTTTCCTTATGTCGTAGTAAATTTCAGAAAGTTTTGATGCAACTCAAACTAAAAGAAGTAGGGTCATAATTATAAAGATAAAAGGTAAAATACTATATGTGCAGAAGAGAGAGATAACTATATCAGAAAACACTGGTTTTTTGATGCCATTGTTTTCTTTGGACTCATTAGCACCATGCTGTAAGTGTTAACCAGGGAAAATAGATCCACACACCAAGGTAAAACAAAGAAATGCAGACTGGGTAAATAGTTACATAGATTTTTGTATAAGAAAAAATTAGTAGCCAGATTGATTTGTATTGACTACATATTTGGGTGTCTTGTAAATACAGACTATAAGCTGATTGTAAGCAAGAGCCAAATGTTGCTAGTCAGTGGAAATGAGACTGAAAAAAGCTGGTTAATTTCTACAACTTAAGTATAATTTGATTACAGATAAAGGACAATGTAGAAATGACCACACAATGTTCATACACACTTTGCTATCTAAAACTTATTCATACAGTTCTTCAAAATAAAGCAGTTTGGTATAAAGTATCTATGCTAATTTTGCTTTCCATCTTTTAGCCTTTCTTATTGCCATGTTAATGAATTTCTACTTTTTCTAACTTTACCTCACCATACTATTCTTCTGTTAGGTAAACCAATGAACTAGAAATTCTTTCTCTAAGGATATTGTAATTTCCCTATGGATTTATAATCACATTAAATAAAATGGTGAGTTATATTTTATAGATTGTTAGTGGGGTAATCAATGTCAAAGTATATATTATTAATGTTTTTATGCTCATGTACAAATGTTGCCCATGGCAAGGTGAAATAAGTTTTAATTTTCATGGTTTTATACAATGTTATCAGTTTTCAATTATTTGTGTTGAAATTGAAAACATTTTTCCCACTTGAGGAAAATTGCTATTGAATTTTCCAAAAAGCATAAAACCTTCACAAGTGAGATGGTATGTTTTGGCAATTGTCTTGATATTTTATATGTATGGATTTAAGTATTAATTTATCTCCTTCCTAAACCTGGTTAGCCTCAAAGAAGGACATCACCGGCGAGTTTTATAAGCCAGGAACCTAGGAATCCACTTTATCTGCTCATCTCTTCCTGTGCACCAGCAGCGCCCAACTCCTTTTTCATGTCCTATTGATTTCATCTCTATTATTCATCTCTATTTTGTCTGTTTTTACCTCAGCTGCTGTAATCAAATTTAGGACCACTACTTTTAATTACAAATCTTACACTGTCACTCCCCTGATTAGGGGTCTTCATTTTTTTCCCATTGTTATTAAGAAAAATATTTTAAAAGTTTGTCTTAATGTAAGTTCCACGTGGTCAAGCCTGTGTCTTTTTTTTTTTTTCTCTCATCATTGTATCCACAGAAATAAATAAGGTAAGACTAACTTTCAATCAGTTTTTGAGCTGAGAGCTTCAAATCCAGACCAATTCTCACATTTACATCTGGTAAGTATCATTGTGGCAATAAAAGCGTTCAGATACAGCCTTTGTTATGGAGCAGCTTATGATATGCAGGAGAGGCACATGCACATATAATAACATGTATTTGCCTAATTATTATTGTTATTATTATTTTTTATACAGAATCTCACTATTACCCAGGCTGGAGAGCAGTGGTGCAATCTCAGCTCACTGCAACCTCTGCCTCCTGGGTTCAAGCGATTCTTCTGCCCAGCCTCCAGAGTAGCGAGACTACAGCACACGCCACCATGCCCAGCTAATTTTTGCATTTTAGTAGAGACGGGCTTTCACAATGCCAGGCTGGTCTCGAAGTCCTGACCTCGTGATCTGCCGCCTCGTCTTCCCAAAGTGCTGGGATAATGGGCATGAGCCACCGCGCCCAGCCCTAATTATTATTCTTAACTGTAATTAAAGATAGAGAAGATAAAGAATGGTAATATGTTTAACATTTTGGAAATAAGCTTAATGGAACTTAGTAACTATTGAGATATAAATGGAGATAAAGTGAGTAAAATATGAAAGATGAATTCAGCATCTAGATTAACAATTGTTGTATAGTGGCATTATTAAGGAGGCAATAATGATGATGATAGCATCTAGTATATATCATGTACTTAAAATGTGTTGGGCATTTTGTTAAGCTTTTATATTCATTATCCTAACTCTGAATTCACAATCCAAGCTTTTTATCACCCATATAAAGATCAGATTTTACGATAAATAAAATTCAGTTCAATATTGGACTGGTTGAATATGAGATGTTTCGGTAATAGTCATGCAGAGATTGACAACAGGGAATTATAAATATGGGACTGAAATTTGGAAGAAAAGGAGATGCCCAGTGAGGAAGATTTGGAAGTCATTAATTTGTACATAGTAGATTAAGCCATGATGCTTTAAGCAGATATGGAAAGAATAAAGGTATTGCTACCAAAAGTGTATTTCTACTATAAACCATAGAATAAGTCTCAAATAAACCAAATTGCATAATGTTTTAATCCTGAAGAGCTGAGCAAGAATAAGCAAATATTGGTATGTGACTCCTATAGTTTAATACAAGTTACACAGATTATAATAAATTCTTAGCACAAATGATTGTATTAATGCATTTTTATAATATTCAAGTTTCTCCACTTACTTCTAAGCTAAAATATTCTTTTTAATAAGATAATCAATACGAATACATGAATGCCTGACATATCTTAGGCCCTCAATTAACAATGAATGAATGCACATTATGATTGAATTTAAAGATTTAACAATCCTAACTACTATTTAAGGTAGACAGCCTAAAGAAAGACAAAACCAAATAGACACAACTAAGAATAATTTCAAAATGTGCCATTAGTCCAACTTGTAATATGATAATCAGTTAGGATATCCAGTAATTACAAAGTTCATCTTAAAAACATGGAGATGGCTGCCTTTAAATAGAGGTACTGCATATAACAGAAAAGAATTCAGCATATTTGAAGGACCATTGAAATAATATTATATTATAGGGTAGATTACATGCAGATGGCAGACTTGTTGAAAGCTACTGTTTATATGAAACCAAATCATTCTGACCATAGCTTCTATTATACATAGTAAAGACATTCTATTCGAAGCACTTTTCATCAGTTTTTCATAGGCATTCAGAAGAGGAGGTTTTCAAGGTCAAAAGGACCAATAAAATTTTGGCTGCTGGCAATGGAAAGAATACTTAGGATCAGCAGCAATACAGATAATTTTATTTTTACCTTTATACTCCAATTTGGGGAAAATACAAGCACTCATTTTTATCCCAAGAATAAATGGTTATAAAACTCTTCTGTAGATTGCCATGACAATGAGAGTTAGAATAAGAAAGAGGGTTAAAAACTATGTTTCTAAATAAGGATTTATTTTCTCAAAATATCAATCTTCATAGGCAAATATAAAGTAAAATTTAAACATTTTTATTCTTTTTATTTTAAAAATGATCTAATTTAATTATTGTAACCATAATGTGACCAATGAAGAATATAAGGGGGTATGAACCTAGGTAAAGTTACACAATGATTCAATGTCTGACTCGAGTGCTAAACACAGGTTTAAGTTTAGAAAAGACAACAACTCAGGATGGCATTTAGCTAAATCAGTCACATTCATTTTTGTTTCTTTTTTGCAAAAATTTTTCCCAACATCAATATTAAGAAGGTACATGCCTTGGTAAAAAATAAATAATGAATGATGAAATATGGCATCTTTTCTAAAATGGTCAAAGAAATAGGATTTTTTAAAATCCTCAACTTACAAAAATAACATGTATTCAAATTATCGTTATCTAGAAATAATAGTAATAAAGCTACTGAATTTTAAATACTTTCAGTGTGAGAGAAATCTACCTATTAAAAATAAGTATCTCCATGGTCAGGCACAGTGGCTTACATCTGTAATCCCAGCACTTTGGGAGGCAGAGGTAGGCAGATCACCTGAACTCAGGAGTTCAAGCCCAGCCTGGGCAACATGGGGAAACCGTCTCTACAAAAAATACAAAAATTAGCCGGACATGGTGGTATACATCTGTAGTCCCAGCTACTTGGGAGGCAGGAGCGTTGCTTGAGCCTGGGAGGCAGAGGCTGCAGTGAGCCATGACCATGCCGCTGCATTCCAGCCTGGGTGACTGAGCAAGACCCTGTCTCAAATAATAATAAGAATCATCATCATCCAGGGGGCCTTTAATTAACAATGAATCGTTATCTGATTCTAAAAAATATTCTCCATTGTAAAATACTTACTATAATCTGTTATTTTCTTTGTAATCTCAAACTGTCTTAAATAATTTTAATATTTCCTCCAATGTTAAAATATTGCACACTTCCTACTTTTTGCCTGTTCTACCACACACATTCTCTCACATCATTACATCAGAGAATATTAAGATCATCATATACAGATGCTCTCATTTAGATAAGCCTGGCCTAAGACTTGAGGTCGCCTGGGTAAATGCACCTTGTTAAACTTACAACAAATGTTGCTCTTAATTAAAATAACTTATATGAAACAACCACTTAAGACTTCAGCTACTAGACTAAAACAAAATTTTTCAAAACGAATTAAATACCTAAGGACTTCCTTTAGTTAAAATGATCTGTGTAAAAACTGTTTTCTTCTTTGATTTTGAAATTTTGCTCTGTGAGCTTCCTATGAAGAGTTGCTTTTCAGAAAGAAACATCTGGAGTATACTTTACGCTTAGTGTAAGTATCTTTAAGCCATTTCACAAGAAACATAATTGTGTTATGGACATACCAATAAACAATAATGGAAAGACGACTTGTCTTTTAATACTTGTGTGTGCAAATTACTATGATGGGTGTTTTAAATATATTTATCCATTTTAAATCTAATTAACTCACAAAAGTATTAAGACTTTAAGAATAGAACTTGGCTTAATTTTTGAACTGTGTCAAATCTCTACTGAACTGTTTGAACTATTGAAACAGTTCTCTACTGAACTGTTGAAAAAATATTTCAAAAAAAATATTTTTTGAAAATCATTTAATTATGTGCATTTATTCAGGTTAATATTAATAAAATTTTAAATTTTAGATGAGAAATAAGATGGCTTTGAAAAACAATTTATGTTCTTATTTATGCCAAAATTAAGTTAACCCTGCATATTGGAAATCTTAGGGAGGCAAGACAACAGAAACGATCAGACTAAGATTATTATGCAGTCATATAAACTAGCAAACAAAGAAATAGAGCAGAAAACATAATTTAAATATATATATATATCCAGCATGCTATGGTGTACAGGCCAAGGAGCAAGAAATTGCATTTAAACTTTGTAATACAACCTACAGTTTATTTTTCTGTATATATTTGAATCATAGAATATTAGAGAACAAAATAGACATTGAAATCATTTGTTCATTCATTTTTTTAGCATATACCGAACATCTATTTTGTGCCAGGCACTGTTGTAAGTACTGGGGAGATAGCAATGGACAAAGCAGATGAAACTTTATATCCTCATGGAGTTTATATTAAAACTACAGGGAGGTTGAAAAAATAAACAAATAAATAAAGTAATATTATATGCCAATTATGGAAGGATGAAAAAGAATTTTCTCATGTGCATGTGTGTATTTGAGCACATGTAAGCATGTGTGTTGGAAAAAAAATATATTTCAAAATGATGCAATAAGGTAAAGACTTTGCTGAGGATGGCACCATAAAGTCTAATACCCTCATTTTACAGCAAAGGAAGCTGAGGTTCAGAGTGATTAAATTAAGTGCTTAAGGTCGCACAGCCTTTTGGAAAAAGAGCTGAATTTGGAAGATGTTTGCAGGCCTTTTGGCCCCATGTCCTCTCCACGGCACAACAGCACACACCCAGTTCAGAGAGTTGCCTGGGCCATGCAGTGAGGCGAAGACATACATAAACGGTGCGTCTGGATGACAGCTGGGTACCTCAATTGACTAGAGGAGAGAACACATATTAGGAAAGTCTGAGAAGTCAGAAGGAATTAGGTAGGCTAGGACCAGATTATGAAAGTTCTCAGATGTCAGGATGATGAGTTTGGTCATCATCTTAGGCAGAGGAGAGATATGATTAAAGTGATGTATCAGATAGTCAGAAGGAGGAGAAGAAACTCATCATCAGGAATAATCATCCTGAGTTCTGTCATCCACCACATTGACATTGATATGACCAGGGCAGGATTCCTGAATCTCATATTTCATGCCACTGGAAAATTGATAAAATAGAAAAAAAAATCTTGTGTTCTCTATCATTAGAGTTTTCTAAGAAGATGACTGAAGAACAAATTGGCTTTCAGAGCCAGCCATGACAAAACAATTATGTTGGGTGAGGACAAGTGGTTACTGCATACTCTACTCCATATCTAAACCTACTGGCTGTAGTTCCTTTTATACTGCAGTTAATATTTTTTTAATTAAGAAAAAACTATCTGTATCATGTTTGGAAGGTTTCACATACAGGGATATAATTTACCCTTTCTTGACAGGGGGTACCAGCTCACCAATAACTGAGTCAACAATGTGGAGTTCTTATTAGAAAAGCAAGAGGGTACTTGGTAGATTCAGGTTAACAGATAACTTTTAGACCCTCCCTGAGTGACACAGTTGGAGATGCTAAAAAGGGAATATTCCTCCCAAATTCAGGATTAAATAGTAAGGTTTATGAAATGTAACAAGGTTGCTTCAATCTTTTTTAAAGAAAAATTAAATCTGGGGAATATGCTTTAATATTGCAATTTCTATTGGTGCAAAGTGTATATCACACGGCACTTCAAATAACTGTTATTAAACAGAATATTATACACATCAGCAGATAGGAAAACAGTGTAATACTCTGACATTGAAACAGTATTACACACTATTTATTACTATTCTTCACTATTCACAATTCTTATATTCACCAGCTTTCTTCAATACTGACCTCTCAAAAATGACAATATATAATATATCGTGTAGGCAATAATTTCCAAAAGATACCACAATAATTTATATCTAATACTATAGGGAATTGCATACCTAAAAATATATACATGCAGAAAGTACTTATTATCTTCAGCCTGAAAAAATCAAATAGCATGATGAGCCTTCATTCTGCCCAGGAAGAGTTTTCTCTTCCTCATCAAAGCCATCAAATCATCATATTATTATAGGTTTCTCACATGTAAAATAATACCCAATGTGATTATTTTCATTTGTATGAGTTGTCCCTTCACATTATATCACTTACTTTAATGATTTTTGTTTTAATAGCCCAAAGTTTTTCGGTTAAATTTCTATTTTTATCTGGAAAGCTTAAAACCTGGTACAATTTAACATGCTAAAATAAAGTTTCAAGCAGGTCGCTACACATAGACTGCTTTTAAAAATTCAAAAAAGCCCCAATAGCAAATGTCATTTCTTTCCATAGTTACAAAATGCAAACTCCAAGTGTTTTATCCTAATGAATAAATGAGTTTGTCCTTTATGTATAAAATATAGTTTGTGTTTGTTGCACAAGTTTTTAATAATAGATGAATTTTAGGTTTGCTCCAACGTATTCAATAAAGTGTGATTAATTTGGTTTTTCAAAAATGCAAACTAGACATTACTATATTACTTTGCAAAATGCACAGCTTGCAACATTATTGTCTCAGTGGGATCTTAAATTGAATTGTAAAATGTGTCTTATTTCCAGTTTGATTTATGTAAGAGACAGCAGTGGATAATGCCCCTTTTGAAGTTTCACTGCTTTGTGTGACCAAACAACAGAAAACTAAAATTCATGATATAGTTTGTTAAAACCTCAAACAAACTTATACGTTATATAATATTTGACTGAAATAAAAACTTATGATGGACTTGGAATACCACATCTTCAGTGAAACAACTTTTTGAAGTTTCTTATTATGATGGATTATACAACACATTTTTGACATTTTCTGTGATTTTTTATGATATTTCAAGTAATTACCAAATCATGTTTTACTCTAAGAAAGCTTTTCTGTGCCCTGAGAATTAATCTATGATACCATTTAACTTGGCTTTTTGAAGTAAATATCACCAGATAAAAGCCAGCTGGATCTGAATAATAGGATACTTGAATGAATGTATTAGTGTTTGAAAAAGAGAGTACAAATCTTCTAAAAAGATTAATTTCCATAAAAAAGATAGCTCCCAGATCTACAAAAGAATAAATTCAAAAACATAATAAACTCTCAGAAAGAAAGGTAGATTAAAGTAAAAGCTGCAGCACCTTGTTACTGCAGCTGTTGTGTAGCAATGATTCTGTATCAATTACATTCGGTTGGTCCTGTAGGGCTCTTCAAAGCTTTCTGTGAAAAGCCTGAATGTGGAATACATGTGACACCGTAAGTAATAACTTTAGCGATTAATTTTGATGCAACACCACATTTATTCTGATCTTACTCTCAATATTTACAGTTTGAGAGAAGCTACAAAGGTTTAGATGGGAACGGATGAATCTACTAACAACGCTTTTTTTCCTCCATTTATTAAAGATGTGGATATGAATTTTTCTTTGTCATGAAAATACTGCAGCTTTATCACAGGACATAGTTGCTGACATCATCATGTAAAAAGACTTGAGTTGGCCAATGGACTTTGTTTTCAATATCCTGTTTCAAAATGTGTCTTCTAAAAAGTCCAGGAATTCTGTTCACACAACTTCTCTACTTTAGTTTGTACAATTACTAATAAAAACAAAGTTTGACCACACATAAACTCCTCTGGGAGGTAAAAAGTACCCTTTCATTTTAAATAATTCTTATGCTGTTATTATCTTGAATACAAAACCAAAAGCAAATATGGAAATAACTTGATTTTTTAACTTTGATTAAATCCTCAAAAATGCAAATCTACCTAAAGCATTCACATAAGAATATCATATTAGACAATTTCAAATGCAATATAAAGTACAGTAAAACAAGGAACAGACAAATGATAGTCTATTGTAATTCTGAAGTCATTTTTTCAGAAACAATTTTTTGTAAAAAACAACACAAAATAATGAACAAAAAGTGAAATTACTGACCAATTCTTACAATAGAAACACTAAGCCATTAAATGAGATTAGTAAATCACTTTGTCAATCACACAATAATTTTACTGTGTGAAGATAAATAAATGGCTATTTTCCTCCCTTTCTTTAATTTTTTCTATAGTTATCTGCCAAAAGCAATCCATAAATGAAATGTAACCTAGTAACTGTAAATGTGTTTATTTAAATGGAGCAAGTTGTTTAAATATAGCGAGATGTTTAAATATTAAGTCAATGTCCATCATAATCAAGACATAAAAGACATATTACCATTATTAGCAAAATATCACTCCCTATGAAATGCGATAGTGTTTATCAAAAAAATAAAATAAAAAGGAAGGCTGCCTTCTCTGCACTCATACGAACCACTAACTGGTTATGACAATTTTTAATAGTAACTCAAAAATTTCTTTATCATACTTCTTCAAGAAAGCTGCTTTTAGTTAAAACATAAAATGGTACTTAGAAGGTTTCTGCAAACATAACTGCCATTCCATTAAGGAAATGGTGCAGCAAACAGTAAATAGTGGCCTCAAGGGAAATGTAAGTATTGATTTTATTACACTGTTGGTTGGTTTGTATTTGAAACTGTCAACTCTAATTTCGAACTATGCTTTAAGTATCCCTAAAACTGATTAAGAAAAGGAGAAATATTAATTGAAAAATAGTGATAATTATTATTTTTGTAGTTTTAAATACCACAGAGATTATTTCTTTTCAGCTTTTGGTAGCCTGTATTTTTAAACTACAAAATTTTATTTTGATAAACATAGTAAATAAATGATGATCTCATATTCATTAAGTCAAATTATATACTCATTTTGTAGACCGTAAGTCAGTATCTTACTCTAGGAGTGAAGCTAATCAGTATTAAAAATGTGAACATGGTTACACAACTCCTTAATTCAGTTTGGGGATATAGCTTTAAATTCATTGATATTGACGTTTTGATTCACCTAAAAAGACCTGATATGAGTATAATACTAATTATAAATCTAGAAATTTCATCATATTGAAATAAACTTCAACCCCTTGCCTCATTAAGCATAAATCATCAAATACTGAAAAAAGAACAAAATTTGCTAACTTAATATAATTGATGTTTTATATTATCATCATTATCACTGATTTTCCTTTTTTACATTTCAGTAAATGACAGCACATTCATGCTAAAAGTATAATTAATAACACAGATCATTTTATTAAACC